>NC_000012.12:112460128-112611643 GCF_000001405.40 Homo sapiens | reverse complement strand
TGAACCCCCCCTCCCAATCTCTACCAAAAATACAAAAATTAGCTGGGCGTGGTGGTGCGCACCTGTAATCTCAGCTACTCAGGAGGCTGAAGCAGGAGAATCCCTTGAACCCGGGAGGCGGAGGTTGCAGTGGGCCGAGATTGTGCCATTGTACTCCCGAAAAAAAAACAATCCAAGATGCTCTGGGTAGGATGAGTAGGGATCTGGATGGAACTAACACATTGCCAGAAGAGTGGCAGGAATGACTTTCCCATGGCAAAATTCTTGCACCTTTCCTAGGGAAGTAAAAAGAATGCTCAGGTGTCTGCACCATCAGTCGTGGTGGTGGTTACATGACTGCATTCATTTGTCTAAACTCATAAAACCAGGGAGCTGTGAACCAGCTCTCTCCTGTGAAAATGAAAAGATACCATTGCATTTGATCAGTGAAACTGATTAACAAGCTAAAAGGTAAGAAAGAAAGAATGCTTGACATCTACCTATAACTGGTTCTTGGAAGTGTTCTGCTTACTAAAAAGCTGAATTATCTAATGGTTCATTCATTGAACAAGGGTTTTATTGAGCACCTACTATGTTTAAAGCACTGTTCTGGGCTTTGGGAAAACAGCCATGAACAAGATGACGAAATCTTTGTCCTCAAAGAATTTACATTCAAATGGGGAGAAATAACTGTAACTAAGAAAGTAAATGCATAAAATAACTTTAGACAGGTGGGTGCGGGGGCTCACACCTATAATCCCAGCAGTTTGGGAGGCCAAGGTGGGTGGATCACAAGGTCAGGAGATCGAGACCATCCTGGCTAACACGGTGAAACCCTGTCTCTACTAAAGATAAGATACAGAACATTAGCTGGGCGTGGCGGCAGGCGCCTGTAGTCCTAGCTACTCGGGAGGCTGAGGCAGGGGAATGGCATGAACCCAGGAGACGGAGCTTGCAGTGAGCCAAGATCATGCCACTGCACTCCAGCCTGGGCAACAGAGTGACACTCCATCTCAAAAATAAATAAATAAATAAAATAATAATTTTAGACATGTTTAAGTGCTTTGAAGATAATCAAATAAGATAATGGACTGCAGAGGGACTAAGTGAGCTGCTCCTTTAGATAGATCAAGGAAGGCTTTTTTTTTTTTTTTTTTTAATTGAGACAGAGTCTCACTCTGTTGCCCAGGCTGGAGTGCAGTAGTGCAACCTCTGCTCCCTGCAACCTCCACCTCCTGGGTTCAAGCGATTCTCCTGCCCCAGCCTCCTAAGTAGCTGGAATTACAGGCGCCTACCACCACGCCAAGCTAATTTTTGTATTTTTAGTAGAGACGGGGTTTCACCATGTTAGCCAGGCTGGTTTCGAACTCCCAACCTCAGGTGATCTGCCTCGCTTGGCCTCCCAAAGTGCTGGGATTATAGGCATGAGCCACCTCACCGACCCAAGGAAGGTTTCTTAAAGGAAAAGCCATTTAAGCTGAAACCAGAAGGAGGAGAGGCACCAGCCAGAAGGAACAGCAAATGCAGAGGTGGAAACAGAGCGATCAGTGTGGTGTGGCTGGAGCCAAGAGAGCCGGGGGAGAGTAGAGATGAAGAAAGGAAGCAGGAAAAGATGAGATGGGAGAGCAGGGCACGGTCAGATCACTCCGTCCCTTGTGGGCTGTAGGAAGAGTCTGAGTTTTACCCTCAAAGCAATAGGAAGCCATTGATAGATTTCAAGCGAGGCTGCAAAAGTGGAACAACTATTCCAGTGGTTCAAGGCATGCTTTGGGAGCTACGTTAGCTGCTCTGTCACCATGGACACCAGGACCATTGGCCCACTGCGTGTCAGACTTGTGCTGGGGTTGATTTTCCAGAAAGTGGGGCTGGTTATGTTTCCCATCACTGAGATGCTTTTGAACAATAGGCATCAAGATGACAGGTTGGTTTGGGGGGCAGGTCTGTAATTTATTCATGCATGTTGACAGGTGCTGACTCTAGGCACTGGGGATGCAGCAATGAACAAACAGACCAAATCCAGTCTCACAACAAGCTCTGTCATCAATGCTAGAAGGTAGCAGAGGAGGGGAAGCACAGAGATGTGAGAGCACCAAGAAGGAGCACCTAGTGCAGACTGGAAGGAATCCAGGACGGCTTCTTGGTGAAGGCAAACCAAACAATAGGCAGGAGGTGGAAGGAGAGAAGAAATAGGATTCTAGAGAGACAGAATATCATGTGCAAAGACCTAGAGATTTCACAGGAAACTCAAGGGACAGCAGTAAGACTCAACTGGAGCAGAGAATGTGAGTGAATGGTCAGATCTGCATGTTAGGAAGAACAGTCTAATTCCAGCTACTGAGGAGGCTAAGATGGGAGGATCACTTGAGGCCAGGCATTTGAGACCAGCCTTGGCAACATAGCTAAACCCCATCTCTACATAAAATAAAATACTCAGACATGGTGGCGTGCACTTGTAATCCCAGCTACTTGAGATGGGGAGAGGTATAAGTCAAGGATAACCCTTGAACTTCTACCTTCTAGGTCAATTGTCTGGTGGTGGCATTATGTAAGAAACAGTCTGTGAGGATTTGGGGAAGATGGTGCTCACGAAACATCCAGATCTGGCATCGTCCAATGAGATCACTACAAACCACACATGGCTATTTATTGTATACTTGAAACGTGGCTAGTATGACTAAAAAAGTGAATTTTTTATTTTATTTAATTTTCATCTACTTTAATCTTAGTTTTTAACTCAAATCTGATTCAGTTCCTGGAGCATTTTAAAGAATGATTAGGACTTACTGATGTCAATCTACTTTGCCAGTTGTAAATATAACCAAATAGAAATCCAGATCAAATATTTCTGATGAAAAGTTAGCATCCAATGTGAAATGTGCTGTAAGTGTAAAGCAGATTTTGAAGGCTTGGTCCAAAACACAAAAAGAATAGTGTGTCTGCCTCCCCTTTTATCACAGCTTACTGTGCATTTAACACAGAAGCTCAAGCCCTTGGGAATGATCAGCTGCTTGCGTCTTACAAGAAGGTTTGCATTTCTCAGGTCTTAAGTCGTGGCATCTGAAAAGCCAGTTTCCCCAAATATCTCAAGACAACATCTCGATTAAAAGCAGAAGTCCTTAATTAATGAAACAAATAATTAACCTTGAGAATGGAAGTGTTCCCCCAAAGCACAATATATGAATTTGCTAATTTAATTCAATAAATATTTACTAAGAATCTACCATGGGCAGGACACTACTTGAGAATGTCAGCCAGGCGGGATAGCTCATGCCTGTAATCCCAGCACTTTGGGAGACCAAAGCGGGTGGATCACCTGGGGTCAGGAGTTCAAGACCAGCCTGGCCAACATGGTGAAACCCCATCTCTACTAAAAATACAAAAAATAGCCAGATGTGGTGACGGGTGCCTGTAATCCCAGCTACTCGGGAGGCTGAGGCTGGAAAATCACTTGAACCCGGCAGGCAGAGATTGCAGTAAGCCAAGATCGCCCCACTGCACTCCAGCCTGGGAAACAGAGCGCAACTCCCCGTCAAAAAAAAAAAAAAGAAAAAGAAAGAGGAGGAGGAGGGAAAGATATAAAAGATGAGGGTAAGAGAATAAATGAATGCATAGAGGAAAATTTTAAAGTCCCTGGGCATGTGTTGGGAACAGCAAATCATCCCCTTTGGCTTTCCAGGAAAGTTAAGACCAGGTACTAGGCTAAGGAGTCTGTATTCGATGCCAGAGGGAACAGAGAGCCACTAAAGGTTTTAGAGCGGGAAAGTGACTTCAAAGCAAACTGCCTTCTGGTTCGCCATAAAATGAACTACATGTCGAGCAAAGAACAGTGCATTTAATGGACAAGAGGCCAGGCTAAAATCACAGCAAGGCATTTAGGAGGAAGAGAAATTGCAGAGAGAAGCTAAGACAAATCTGGTTCATTGATGTTTGAGAATTTCACCAAGAGCCACACTCAAGAAATCGTTTATTTATCAACTCTGTAGTGAGGACAGAACAAGTATTCCCTCAAGGGCCGCATAACTTGCTGGAAACCCTTCAGATGCTCAAATTCAGGTAGGTGATTAAAAAGCACTTCTACAACTGAGTACTTCTCTTTCTTTTAGCTATGCCATTTAGTGTGTCTTCCAATTAACATAAAACTGCATTAGCCAGTTCCTTGACCCAACAGGAGGAGAAAGAAATCATTGCTCAATTTTTAATATGCCCTTTTAGATTGCAAAGGAAAAAAACGGGTAATTATGTACATAAATATATTGTTCAATTCCTGCATTTAAAAAATGCTGAACAATTCACCTGGCTTCTATTAAATCTGTGCAACTATTATCTAAAATTATTACAAGTAGGATACTATGAATAGACTTTTGAAAATAAATAGTATGGGTGTGCTATATAAACAATCTGAGGATGGTGAATTGTTCAAGCCAGAAGGAACCTCTGATATTATGCAATTGAACCCATGCATTTTACAAATGAAAGTAGCCCCAAGAGGCCAAGCAACTTCCCTAAGTCACACAGCAAGCTGGGATCTTGGTGCATAGGGAAGTGGCATCTATAAGTAGCAGTGTGTGGTGCCTTTAAGTGTTGACTCTCTGCCACCCATTGAGCTAATCACTTTTTATGTATTATCTGATCCCCCCCTTAAAGGTCCTATGAAGTAGGTACTGTTTTATCCCCATTTTACAGATACGAAAAGCAAGATCCAAAGAAGTGAAGTTGCTTGCTGATGTGGTTTGGATCTGTGTCCCCACCCAAATCTCATGTTGAATTGTAATCCTCAACATTGGAGGAGGGGCCTGGTGGGAGGTGACTGGATCATGGGGGTGGAGCTCCCCCTTGCTGTTCTCATGATACTGAGTGAGTTCTCACGAGACCTGGTTGTTCAAAAGTGTTTAGCACCTCCCCCTTCTCTCACTCTCTCCTGTTGCCTTGTTGAAGACATGCTGCTTCCCCTTCACCTTCCACCATGATTGTAAGTTTCCTGAGCCCTCCGCATCTACGCTTCCTGTTCAGCCTGCAGAATTCTAGCCAATTAAGCCTATTTGCTCCACTTGAGGTCAGGAGTTCAAGATCAGCCTGGTCAACATGGTGAAATCCCATCTCCACTAAAAATCCAAAAATTAGCCAGCCATAGTGGCGGGCACTGTAATCCCAGCTACTCAGGAGGTTGAGGCACAAGAATTGCTTGAGACTGGGAGGCAGAGATTACAGTGAGCCGAGATGGCGCCACTGCACTCCAGCCTGGTGACAGACTCCATCTCAAAAAAAACAAAAACAAACAAACAAACAAAAACCCTATTTTCTTTATAAATTGCCCAGTCTCTGGTAGTTCTTTATAGCATATGAGAACTAGACTAATATACTTGCCCTAACCCTAACCCACAGCGAGTAAATAGTAAAGTTGGTAAGTGGTAAATTCTAGTAAATGCTAGAAGTTGAACTCAAATCTTAACACAAACCTGTTCTCGTTTCACAAGAGCATATGCAAATTAAAATATTATCTCCGAGACCGTGAGCTCATGTAGCACAGTACATAGAGTCACAGCTTGTGGAAGGGAAGGAGCCAGGGCCAAGCAGGTACTAAGAGAAGAAAGATACATAGATAAGTGGCTGCTCAACACCTCAGCTATCTAGAAGATTATATCACTCGCCCCCACTTTTTTAACAGAATTTTTGTGAGAATCGAGTGATACACTCCATATGAATGACCTTGGAGAGTTAGGAAGAGTTATACAAAGGATAAATTGAACAGACCCATATAATTATTTCAGGAAGAGAGGAAGAAATCTTTCTGAGCACTCCAAAATGTTATAAAACCCACTGGCTAAAGGGGGAACCCCAGATATTCACTCAGAGCCCACTGCCTCTTGGTTGACACACGATGCACGCTAGTAGTTACTAGGTTTCCCAGTTCCACAGGAGATGGAAAACTCTGACTTAGGTCACAAAAGGCTTAGGGGAGAAAGACTTGCTTGGATATAATGGATGAAAGCTGGGCAGATATAGAAAGAGCTGAGAGGAACTCTAAATAAAAAGGCTTGCAGGCTAGGGCTATTTAATACAAGGGCAAAGAGTGCTCCATTCCTCAGGAGAAATGACAGTTCAGTGAAGAGTATGGAGCCAGCTAGAACTATGGGCATGTCCAACCTCCACCACCCATAAGTTGTATAAGCTTTGGCAGGTTACTGCACTTCTGAGTCTAGTGGTTTGTTGTTGTTGGTTTTGTTTTTTGTTTTGTTCGGTTTCGTTTGGATTTTTTTGTTTTTGTTTTTTGTTTGTTTGTTTGTTTGTTTGAGATGGAGTCTTGCTCTGCCAACCAGGATGGAATGCAGTGGTGCAATCTCAGCTCACTGCAACCTCTGCCTCCCGGATTCAAGCCATTCTCCTGCCTCAGCCTCCCACGTAGCTGGGGTTATAGGTGTGTGCCACCATGCCTGGCTAATGTTTGTATTTTTGGTAGAGATGGGGTTTCATCATATTGGCCAGGCTGGCCTTGAATTCCTGACCTCAGGTGATCTGCCCACCTTGGTCTCCCAAAGTGTTGGGATTACAGGCATGAGCCACTGCACCTGTCCTGAGTGTGGTGGTTTTAAAATGTCTACAGATTATTTGATACTCCCCACTTCAAGAGGTAAAGCCCTTGAAGGTAGAGCCCCTTGAATTCTCCTCCCCTTCTACCAAACAGAATAAAGCAGAATTAACAATACACAACTTCAGACGCTAGGTCACGGAAGGTTTCCATCTTGGTCTCTGCCTCTCTCAGATTGCTCACTCTGGGGGTGGCCAGCTGCCATGTTGGGAGGTCACTTAAGCAGAGCTATGGAAAGATCCACGAGACAAGGAACTGAGAGACCTCCAGCCAACAATCATGTGAGTGTGCCATCCTGGAAGTGGATTTTTCAGCCCAGTCAAGCCTTCAGAGGGTGGCAGCCCCTGCTACATTCTGACTACAACCTCATGAGAGGCCTTCAGCCAGAATCACTCAGCTAAGCTATACTGAAATGCTGATCCTCAGAAAGTACATGAGATCGTAAATGTCACTTATATAATTAACCCAACATGTAAGCTGCTACATGTTGGGTTAATTTGTTACCTAGTAATAGAAAACTAATACAGTGAGACACCATTTCTCTATCTGTAAAATGGGAATAAAAAGTGAGGATAGGGAACATAAGTAGGAATACATAAAATGTCTAGCAAATGCCTGGCATGTTGTAGTTGCTGAATATATGCTAGTTTCCCTCCCTACCTTCCCCTCAAACACACCTGAGAGTGTAACTCTCAGCACAGATGACTGACTTTTATAACATGGAAAAAAGTTAAATTGTTCTGTATCCTCTTTTAGAAAGCAACACAATTTTTAAAGGTGGGTAGGGGGTGATTCTTGAAATGGTTGCCAGTAAAGTCACCCTCAGTAAAATTGAAAAGTTATAGCAACACACTAGCAAATTGATAAGCACACAATCCCTTGAGTTCAGACAGATCTAGGCTTCAGGTATCAGCTCTGCCACTTTACCAGCTGTGTGCTCTTGAGAAAATCACTTAACCTCTCTGAACCTCATATTCTGCACATAAAGATTGATTACCTCAATGGCTTATGATTCAGTCACCTGCAAAATGTACTTATTTAGAACTTTGCCTACCTTGGGGTTCCAGATAAAATGGCCAGCAATTGCCAAGAGAAGACCAGAACCAGTTGCCTGGTTAATGTGTCCCCTCCTGCCTTCCACAACCAACAAACCAACCAACACACACACAAGCACACATTCAACTAGGCAGTATGCTGGGGGGCTGGGTTATATTACATCCCTTTCCCTTTGTCAGAGGCATTCAAACCAGAGTGACTCCATCTTGAGTGAGGGCGAAGAAAAATGAGACTGGGACTTGCTGGGCTGTTTTCCCAGGGTGTTGGGTATTTCTAGCATGTAGATGTTTATGGTTAAGAGAACAGATTCATAATGTTACTAAAAAGTCCCAAGCCGAGGAATGTCCTGTTAACCCGATATCTTGAGAACAAAAGCATTCCTAATTTTGCTTTAAAGATAATAATATTGATTCTTACAAAATATAGTAATTAAGAAAATTGAATCTTTATCACAAACCCTTGTACATCTTCCCATGATTTTTTTGTTTTTGTTGTTATCCTATGTATATACAAGCATTATACCTAGGGTGGGTGTGTTCCTCCTCTTACTTTCAGGAACGCCCTACTCTGTCTATGGAGTAGCTGTCCTTTCAACTGCTTTCCTTTCTTAATAAACTTGCTTTTGCTTTGCACTGTGGACTCACCCAGAATTCTTTCTTGTGCTAGATTCAAGAACTCGCTCTTGGGGTCTGGAATGAGATCCCTTTCCAGTAAATCTTCAAGAGTGCTTTTGCTACTAATGGGACTCAGGACACACTACTCCAAAATATAGCACCTTGATATTTGAGAAAACAGCTGAAGCAGGAAGGTCTCTCTCACCTTCTCCCTTGAAGCAATCATAAGACAGTCATTCAACAGATGCTCTCCCTACACCTGGGGGAAAGGAGCATCCTAATCTCTGAAGACACAGGAGTCTGAACAAACAGGCCTTGTTAAGTTCCCCCAGTTTATTACCATTAGATCATACCCCTTTTGTCCAATCATACTTCTCCATGACTATCTACTTTCCCATCACACCCTCATCACAGGAAAAATACACAGATTTCCCTGTTTCTTTGGGTCTTTATCTTTCCAATAGCTCCCATATCACTTAAAACTTAAATACATTTATATTTTTTTCTCTTGTTAATCTGTCTTTTGCTGTAGGAGCCCCAGCCATGAACCTAAGATGGAAAGAAAAGATATTTCCTTTCTGCTACTCTCTTTCTCCTACTCTTTTTTTTTCTCTCTTTTAATAGCGTCCCATTGTGTGACGCCCAGGCTGGAGTGCAGTGGTGTGATCACAACTCACTGCAGCCTCGAAATTTCTGGGCTCAAGCAATCCTCCCGCTTCAGCCTCCTGAGTAGCTGGGATTACAGGCATGCACCACCACGCCTGGTTAATTTTACACTATTCATTTTAATAAAACTTCACATTTATAAATATGTTTGGATTGGGGTAGGGGAGCCTTGACACATACCATGACTTGTCTTAGCCCTGCCCCTACTAAGTTTGGCCTCCTTTCTGCAGTGATGAGAACACTCCTTCCTCTAGCTTCCTCCCCCAAAAACAGTCATCAAGTGTCTGGGAATGTTTGGATGGTAAGCCAGGGAGGTGAACTGTAATTAAAACGCAGATGGATAAAGCAGGTACTCCTTTAACATGCAAATTGAGATCCTGGCGGCCAGCAAGCTCCATTTTGAGCCTGGGCGGCAGGCTTTCTTAGAGGGGGCTTTGTTAGAAAGGCAGAGGGCTTTGTTAGAAAGGCACCATGAAGGAGTGGAAGGAATGGGGATTAAAGAAGGTTAAAGGACTTGGTTAAAGAGGCCAACAAAACCCTCCCAATGGCTGAGTTGCAAGTTTTTAAATTACTATTACCTACTTGAGACATATTTTGAAAGGCGTGAAGAAGAATAAATGGCCCCAGGAGCAGATTAAGAAGTAAACATCCCCAGTCTATCTGAAGGCTCTTGTGTGCCCCGCCTCAGCAATACCCACCTCTGCCTCTGCAGAGGGAGCCTCTATTCTGAAGTAGGTGTTACTCCAGCCTCATGCTGTTTTTATACTTTTATTACCTATTTGGCTGGTTTGTTTATTTTTTGGAGACAAAGTCTCGCTCTGTCACCCAGGCTGAAGTGCAGTGGCATGATCACAGCTCACTGCAGCCTGGACCTCCCAGGCTCAAGCAATCCTCCTACCTCAGCCTCCCAAGAAGCTGGGACCACAGTCTACACAGGTGTGTGCCACTACACCTGGCTAATTTTTTTGTTTTTTATAGAGACGTGGTTTTGCCATGTTGCCCAGGCTGGTAGTGAACTCCTGTGCTCAAGTGATCCGCCCACCTCGGCCTCCCAAAGTGCTGGGATTACAGGCATGAGCCACTATGCCCAGTCTATTTATAATCTACTTGTATAATGTTTATCCCTAACTTTATGTAGTTGCTGTGCATATTTTTAAACTTTATGTTAAAAAATAGTCTATATGTACTTTTTTGTGCAATTTGATTTTATTTTCTTGGCACGTTTTTTGGGGGATTCACCCACGCTGATTCACAGAGCCCTGGCTCACTCACTTTCAGTGGCATGAATATAATGTACAAATCCACTTTCCTGTTGATAGGGCAAATTTACATCCCCATTCCCAAACACACTGTGCAAAAGATTATAAAAGGAAATAGAATTAACTGTTGAAGGCTCCTGTTTTTTCAGAGGTATGTCCTAGGAAATGAGCCAAACATTTTTCCTATTTACCCCAAAGGACTGCTGTAAGGGTTAAAGAACATGAAGATAATAATAAAAGTTAACATTTATCAAGTGCTTGCAGCCTGCCAACTTCAGGCTAGGAGTTTTGCATTAATTGTGCATTTAATCCTCAACACAGCTACTGATACGATTTGGCTCTGTGTCCCCACCCAAATCTCACCTTGAATTATAATCCTGGTAATCCCCACGTGTCAAGGGCAGGACCAGGTGGAGGTAATTGAATCATGGGGGCGGTTCCCCCCATGTTGTTCTCGTGATAATGAGTGCCTCTCATGAGATCTAATGGTTTTATAAGCATCTGGCATTTCCCCTGCTTGCATGCATTCTCTCTCCTGCCGTCCTGTGAAGAGGTGACTTCCACCATGATTGTAAGTTTCCTGAGGCCTCCCCAGCCATGTGGAACTGTGAGTCAATTAAACCTCTTTTCTTTATAAATTATCAAGTCTTGGGTATGTCTTTATTAGCAGCATGAGGACGGACTAATATAGTAAATTGGTACTGAGGTAGTGGGACACTGCTGTAAATATAGCCCAAAATGTGGAAATGACTTTGGAACTGGGCAACAGGCAGAGGTTGGAACAGTTCAGAGGGTTCAAAAAAAGAAGGAAGACGTGGGAAAGTTTGGAACTTCCTAGAGACTTGTTGAATGGTTTTGACCAAAATGCTGATAGTGATATGGACAATGAAGTCCAGGCCAAGGTGGTCTCAGACAGAGCAGTGAGTAGCTAATAGTGTCCCATTTTACGGTTGAGGAAACAGTGGCTCAGAGAGAGAGGAAGTTATTTGACTGAAGACATACTGCTTGGAGGAGACCAGAGTAGGATGGAACTCAGATCTCTGTCTCACAATCCCAACTGCTTAACCTCACACCTTATGACAGAAAAAGGACTTAGGGCAGGCAGTGAGCTCTCAGTAAATTGTCATGGTTGTTATCGGTAATAATGAACCATTTTTAAGTCAGGCAGGATTATCAGAGCTGGCATTAATTATTCAGCACAACCTGGGGAGAGCACCTTGCAGTATGCCCTGTATTTAAATTAAGAAGAAGAAAACAGATGACTGAGTGGATCAACCTTTTCCAAAATCTGACTCTAATTATACCCCAAGGGAGTGCCCTAAATCTGCAAACACTGGAAAATTGCACCACTGTGACTCAGGAATATATGTTATGCAATCTCTTTTCACCAGGCTCAGGGTTCAGGGTTAGGAAATAATGCCCTTATTGAGCATAGAAATTGTACCGGGTACAAAGCTGAATTCTCTATGCATAGTTACTCACTCAGTCCTCACAGCAACTCCGGAGGCAGACACTGTTATCATCCCGTGATGCACTCCAGAAGGCTGAGGCTGAGAGAGGGTGAAGCCACTTATCTGAAGTCACTGGGATAGTTAGTGGCAGAAATGATGTGCCTATTAACCACTATGCAGGGGGCAAAATCGGGACAGCTATGTGCCAGGTCTCTCCAACCCCTAAGAAAGTTTAAGAAACACTGCATTTAACTTTTTTTTAATATCAGTTAGAGATGGGAAGGGTGGTGGGATACCACTAACACTTTGCCTTCTACATGGTTGTATTTATTCTATTTCAACAAGCATACATTTTCTTTTACAGTTAAAATTTTTAAGTCCCAAAGAACATCCAAAAAATCAGGTGAGCAAGTTGAAAAATATTCCAAGCTATAACTAACCCATTTATTCGGGGCCTTCTGAATAAACCAAATTCCTACAAATCAAATTGCAATCAGTAGCCTGTGCCCAGGGCAGGGTCAATACAAACCCTGGACACTTGACAGTAGAGGTTCTCACCTCAATTTATAAAAATATTAAAATGTAACCACATAAAATATAGAGAGAACTGGGGGTTGAGTCACCATTGAGTAGTTGATGCAATGTTGCATTGTATAGGCATGAGATGAAACATGTATTAATTTAAATTCAGTTTTATGGTTTTCTTCTTCTATTTCAGAGGCTACAACTTCTTTCTAGGATGCAAACATCCCCACAGGCCCTCATAAGCCTTATAAGCACCCAGCACTGAGCCTCGTGGTGCTGCATGGATAAACCAGCTGCCATCTTGGCCACATGAATCGAAAGTTAACTTGGTCTTGCTACACACACACTACAACTCATTTTTCTATTCTTCCATGTTGGTCCTGATAATATGTCAAAGCCTATGCAGCAGGCAGTGTGGCAAGATGCTGACAGCAGAATGCCTAGCAGACAAATGATTAATGGCTGCACTGCGGAACAAAGAGGTTAATTACTGGTGTCTAAGATATCTGAGGGGAACATGTTACACACCCATATTACCAATTAACCTCACACCTAAAAAAATCATAGTCTGCAATTAATAGAAAATGACTGTCATCCTAATTACAAGGTCTATACAAGAGGCCAGTATTAGGCAAGGAGACTTTTGTTTTAAACCTCTTCCTGGCTAGTTCCCTAAATTTTTTGGCACCCTTTCAATGAGTTATGCTTAGATTCCACACCCTTCTTAAAGCTGTCCCCAGAAATAGTAGTTGCTGCTGCTGCTGCTGCTATTGGTAACTTTTATTAAGCACTTACGACATGCCAGGTGCTGTGCTGAGTACTTTGTGTGCATTATCTCCCTCATCCTCCCACTTCACTTATTCATGACCCCTGCCTGCTGCAATTTTTCACTTTTCAGTCTCCACACTTGATTTCTTGGGTTTTACAGTCTAAGGAATTCAATTTTACCAAGTACTCTCAAAAGGCGGTGGTCTGTCTAGACTCAGACCAGCCAAACTCATAAGAGTATGATGTATAAATCAGATGGCTGATTTATTGATTCCATTGAAAACCAGTATCATTCAGGGGGACAAAAACTCACCTTCTTCACTAAGCACATTACTTCCTATTCCGAATATATTCAGGAAGCTATAGCCCACACTACTGATGTCCCTAACACCTTTCTTTGCACACTGAATTGACAACGTCTGTTCTCTGGCTTCCCAAGCATGCTAAGTCAGTGGATAGAGAAGGTCAGAAGTGTCAATGAGAGAACACTCCTTGTAGCTTTCCTCAACTGATGGATGACTGATGTGAATGAAGAATACTTCCTCATGCACACAACTTTGCACACCATGCATGACATGGCAGTATGTTCAACCCAGCCTCCCAGAAGGCGTCTGCAGGATTGAGCACGGTTGCCCTCAGCAACTGTGGTGCCCTACTAGTGCTTCATGGAATTACCCACCAAATAAACTCTTGCACTCAAAATCCTTGTCTTGGGGTCTGCTTCTAGGAGAACCCAGCCTAAACGACCTACAGAAGTTGTTTGTAGTCCTGGAATCACAGTCAATTGGACAATCATAATGTTGGGTCGCTCCATTCTAGGGATTTGCCTGATGCATGAGTCAGCTTCTCTTGCCTATAGGTCTAGGAATCCTCTTTTCTGGACAGTTCTGGACACATAAGCTGACCAGTCTATGCTCCTTCTATATGAGACTTCTATAGAGACTATGAGACTTCTATAGAGTCTCAGTTAACAGTCTCTCTTCAGAGGGCAACCAGATGTTCATGCTTTTAATTACAAACTTGTTTCATGCACCTTCCTGACACAAGTGGAAGTTTCTGGGCTCCCCAAAGTCATCAATCACATACATACTCCCAGCCAGGATTGGGGATAGGTCATTTACTTTTTTCTTTTAACAGAATTTTTGTTTGTTTTTTTGAAACAGGGTCTCACTCCCATCGCCAAGGCACAACCACATCTCACTTTAGCCACAACCTCCCAGACGCAGGTGATCATCCCACCTCAGCCTCCCAAGGCTGTACTCCCAGCCTTGGGGCTACAGGCACACACCACTATGCCTGGCTAATTTTTTTGCATTTTTAGTAGAGGTGGGGTTTTACCATGTTGCCCGGGCTGGTCTTAAACTCCTGGGCTCAAGTGAGCTGCCTGCCTCAGCCCCCCAAAATGCTGGGATTATAAGCATCAGCCAATGCAACTGGCCTCTTTTAATAGATTTTTAACTACACAAATAATACATTGAAACATTCCCTTTTTTATAAGAATTAAAACGGGACAGATAAAGATCAATTCCCTCTTGAACACCGTCTTTTCTCAACAATCACAGTTCCCTCTCCTCCTCCCCAAAAATAACCACTGTGTCAGTTTGGTGTGTACAGTTCCAAGCTTTTTCCTATGATTTTATGCAGATATATTAAGTCATGGAAAAAGTTTGGGTGGGAGAAGGTTAATGTGTCTTCCTTCTGTTGGTATACTGCACTAGCAACAAACAGTAGAAAAAAGGAAATGTAAAATGCAATGCCATTTACCACAGAATCCAAAAATGTTTTTAACCTATGAATAAATTTAACAAAAGACGAGCAAGACCTCTACACTGACAAAAACAAACATTACAAAAAGGAGTTAAAGAAAACTTACATAAATGGAGAAATGTCCCGTGACCATGGATTGGAAGATTTAATATTATGATTTTAATTGTCCCCCAAATGGTTTACGGATTCACTAGAATCCAAATAAAAATCTAGGGTCTACTTTTATTGAAATTTATTAGCTGATTCTAAAATTTATATAGATATGCAAACAACCTAACAAAAATCAAGCAATATAGAAGAAGGGTGGAAAACTTAAACTATCAGATTTCAAGTCTTACTCAAAGCTATAGTTATTAAAAATATGGCGCTATTAACAAAATAATAGACAAAAGACTGATAGAACAATACTAAGTCCTGAAGTGGAGCCACACACATCCAGTCACCCGATTTACAATGAAGGCATTACTGCAGTTTGAGAGCACAGGAAGGGGAAAATAATGGTTGTTTGAATAAATGGTGCTGGATCAATTGGATATCCATGTGGATACTAATACAAACCAAAACTTTGACTCCCTACCTTACACCATACACAAAAGTTAATTGTAAAGAGACCATATGACCTAGGCAACATCATGAGACCCAATCTCGACAAAAACTTTAAAAGTTAGCCAGTCATTGTGGCACATGCCTGTGGTCCCAGCTACTCAGGAGGCTAAGGTAGGAGGGTCACTTGAGTCCAGGAATTCAAGGCTGCAGTGAGCCATGATCATACCACTGCACTCCAGCCTGGGCAAGAGAGTGAGGTCTTGTCTCAAAAATAAGAAACAAAAAAATGAAGAGACCATGAACATATTTAACAAATTATCTATCTTGCTTTTCTCACTCAATGATGTTTTGAGAACCCACCCTTCGTCCACACATACCAACCTACATAACTGTTTTAATGGTGGCTGAGTAGCCCATACCAGATGTGTCATGGTCTATGGAGCTGTTCCCTTCACACATGTCTATGTAGTCTCTCCAGTAGTGTCAGAGAAATGGAATTGCTGCAGCATAGGAGCTGGGTCATTTTTTTCAGGCCAAGTAGAACTTCCATTTTTCTTCCAAATTTCATTCTCAGTTAGCATTGGTATCGTGTGGTTGCCCCCAGGGAGGACGGAAATCAATACTCTACCCAAAATTGGCTTGGATGTCAAGAATGATGATGCCACATATGCACTAAGAGTATGGAAATAATCATTAACTCACATAATGTTTCTTTCTGAGAAGAGCAGGGAAAACACCCAAGCTGGTCTGGAATGGCTTGAGCAAAGGGAGTGGCAATGGCTTTGGTTTTTATTGTGGTTAGGGGGGTGGGGTTGAATGACGGTCCTGCGTGGGTGGGTGAACTTCTCCACCAATGCCAAAAAAGGTAGTGCACAGGATTTCTTATTGGCTTATCCAGATATGAGGCAAAAGGGGAAGGAGGAGGGAGAGGGCTTGGAAGTTGTCAGTAGTCAAACATTCAAAAATGGAGTATCTCAGCTAAGGGAAATATTTTGCTGCATGATTACATACCCTCTGGATCAGTAAATAGTCACTAATTGATTATCATAGGCTCTGGCTTTAGCTTATCATGTCAGGTTAGGCTAGGTTATGCTCTTGACTCAGTTTCCCCATCTGAAAAACCATTAAAGAAAGCCACCAAGTAAGAGATATATCTAAGCTGCTCATCGATCTTTTTATTGAGCATTTACTAGGTGCTAAGTACTATTCTGAGAGCTTTTTCATGAATTAACTCATAGCCATGTAAAAACTCACTGAATTTAGCAGTTATTATCCTTATTTTACAGGTGAGAAAAATGGAAGCACAGAGAGGTGAAGTGATTTGACAAAATTACATAGCCAGTAAGTGTGGAAATGGGACTCAAGACCAGGCTGTCCAGACCCAGAGCCCAAGCTCTTAATTACTATGCTAGGCTGTGGACTCCTTCATAAGAGTGACAAATGCCTGTTTCCACTATGCTGTGCAACTCCAGAATCAAATAGAATACCATGTGAGTAATGCTCTCTAGAGTTGTGGAAAAGTTGGGACTTGCATGCATCGAACACAATGCCTGGAATATAGCGAGTGCTCAATGAACATTGGTGAATTAATTAATCAATACCTTTATGCATAACAATAATAACAAAGTAGCATTATATTATCCATGAGGATACAAAAACCAATACAATAAAATCAACCAAAGAGCTCCAGCTCACACATTGGACATTATTTCAACCTCCCACATCAATAGCAACTAAAGAGAAATTCCCCAGAACTAATTAGACTGAGAGCTCCACGAGGGCAGGAACAGAATCTGTTTTGTTTTTGCTGGAACCCAAGGACCCCAGCACAGGTCCTAGCATGGAATACTCACTTCAAAAGTATTTGCTGAAAAATGGATGGATATTTGGACAGAAGATACTCGAATGAATAAATGGAGGGAGGGATTATTAGATAGATGATGAGATGGATAGATGGAAGGATGGATGGATGATTGTGTGAATGGATGGAAGAAAGATGACTGCATAAACAGAGATGGGTGGGTGGGTATGTGGGTGGAATGAGCAGTTAAAATTATGGACTCTGTAGTTAGACTGCCTGGCTTCAATTCCCAATTCTGTCAATTATTCCAGGAATATAGACGGAATAAGAGGCCAGAAGGTGACCCAAAAGTAGGCCCAGAGAAGGAATGAGAGGGTAGTTTGTGAATGAAATAATTGTGGAATGCTAGAGCCAAAAAGAACAAATTTAATCAAGCACCCTTTTTGTACAAATGAGAATACTAGAAGTCAGAGAGATAAAACTATTGGTCCAGAATAACACAACTGATTAGAGGCAGTACCGAAACAAAAGTCTAAGTTTCCTGACTGTCTTTATTCAACCAACAAACATATATTGAGCATTTACTATGTACCAGGTACTATACTAGGTGCTGAATATACCACATTGAGCAAAACAGACACAGGATCTACTCTCAGAGCACTCAAAATCTGAAGGGAAGTAAGTGTTATATGGGGGAAGTACCAGGAGTTAGGGGAGCATATAACAGTGACAACTAATCCAGTCTAGTGATCAAGGAAGGCTTCCCTGAGGAGGTGGCATTAAAGTCAAGACCTATAGACAACTGAAAAGATGGGTAGGAGTCATTCTAGCAGAACCACTCTTAGATAGCTCTATAACCCCAGGATAACTGCCTAATCTCCCTGGAACTCATTTTATCTTTAGATGTGGATAATAATTAGCACAATAGACAGCACTCAATAAGAGTTGGTTCTCCCTTCCTTCACAGGAAGGTGGCCTTCCAATCTAACGCACCATCTATGAGAAAAAGAGTAGGTATATGTAGAGTCTAATAACACAAACCATAATTGTTCTTTTATTCATTCTGTAATATTTCTTGAGCACTGGCTGTCAAGAGCTTTTCTAGACATGGATGTGCAGTTCCTACTCATCAATTCTAATAGAGAATGTATCGGTCAGGATGGACTAGGTTCTGCTGTGTAACAAACACACCAAAATCCCACCAGCTTAACACAACAAAAGTTTACTCCTCCCTCATAGAGTCTGCTGCAGGTCTAGTAACTCAGAAATCCGGGTGTTTTAATCAGCTCTGGCAGCTATAATAAATTAGCATAAATTTGGGCAGCTCAAACAGCAAACATTTGTTTCTCACAATTCTGGAGGCTGAGAAGTTCACAATCAAGGTACCAGCAGATTGGGTTCCGGTGAGCATCCCCTTTCTGGTTTACAGATGACTGTCTTCTCGTTGTATCCTCACATGAGCAGAGAGAGAGAGGCAGCAAGCTCTCTGGTGTCTCTTCTTATTAGGGCACTAATCCCATTCATAAGGGCACCACTCTCAGGTCCTAATCATCTCCCAAAGCCCCATCCCCTCACATAATGTTGGGGCTGGAGTTTCAACATATAAAGTTAGGGAGACATAATGTTCAGACCATAACACCAAGTTCAAATGATACCCTGATTCCACATTTTCACCATGAGGCCTTCAGACTCCATACAGCAGAAAAAAGAACACAGAAAACTCACACAGGCTTTCCCAGGCTTAGGCCTGGGGGTGATGTATGCCCCTTCTGCTCATAGCCCATTGACAGGAATAAGTCGTGTGGCCCCGCTTAACTACAAGGGTCTGGGAATGGAGAAGTGCCGGGACCACCTGAGGAACATTATTGTCTCTGCCACAGAGGAGACACACACTCAAGTCAGCACACAAACAGGATATACAGTCGGCCATCAGTATCTGCAGGTTCTGCATCCACGGATTCAACCAACCACAGATCGAAAATTTTCCAAAATAAAAATTAATACAGCAGCCAGGGACAGTGGCTCATGCCTATAATCCCAGCACTTTGGAAGGCCAAGGCGGGCAGATCACGTGAGGTCAGGAGTTCGAGAACAGCCTGGCTGACATGGTGAAACCCCATCTCTACTAAAAATACAAAAATTAACCAGGCATGGTGGCGTGTGCCCGTAATCCCAGCTACTTGGGAAGCTGAGGCAGAAGAGCCGCTTGAACCCGGGAGGCAGAAGTTGCAGTGAAACAAGATCACACCACTGCACTCCAGCCTGGGTGACAGACACTCCATCTCAAAAAATAATAATAATAATAACTATTTTAAAACAATACAGTATAACAACTATTTTATTTTAATTTTAATCTATTTGTTTATTTATTCTGAGACCAGGTTATGAGACTGGCTAATTTTTGTATTTTTGGTAGAGGCAGGGTTTTGCCATGTTACCCAGGCTGGTCTTGAACTCCTGGCCTCAAGGGATGCACCCACCTCAGCCTCCCAAAGTGCTAGGATTACAGGTGTGAGCCACTATGCCCAACCAACAATACAGTATAACAACTATTTACATAGCATTTACATTGTATTAGGTATTTAAATAATCTCGAAGTGATTTAAAGTATGCAAAGAGGACATGCATAGGTTACATGCGAATACTACACCATTCTATGTCAGCGACTTGAGAACCCACAGGTTTTGGTATCCAAGGGGGTCCTAGAACCAACCCCGGGGATACTGAGGGACGATTGCCAGGAAGTTTTTAACTGGATGACCTGGCTCGAGCTTCTGAATTAAGACTTCAGAATGTAGCAGACACAAACATAAAACCACAGATGAAAAGAAATAAATGACAATACATCACAGACTGCCTCAAAGGCAGGTGAGGAGTTCTACTGAGTTATCTGTCCCTGCAGTCTAGCAGTATCCAAGCAGTGATTTCATTTCCGAGCACAAATCACCAAAACAATGCAGAGTGCAGAAATGGAGCCACACAATTCCCATAGCATCTGTAAGAACAGCCCGGCATGGCATCATACCCAGGATTGATTTACTGGACGCCATTCTGAAAGTGAAAAGTTCAGCACGTCACAGCCTGTGCTTAACTGGTACTGAAGTTCAGTTCAAATAAAATAAAACTCACCAGAGGTCTCCAACTCAAATGGCTACAGGGACCACTAAATGAGAGAAGTGACCTCATGGGACAGGGAGCAAACAAGGAGGCACATGCCCATAGAATGGCGCTCTGCAGGGCCAGTGCAGTGGCTCACACACACTTGCAATCCCAGCACTTTGAGAGGCTGAGGTGGGAGGATCGCTTGAGGCCAGGAGATCAAGACCAGCCTGGGTAACATAGTAAAATCCTATCTCCTAAAAATTTTTTTTAATTATCTGGGTGTGGTGGCACACACCTGTGGTCCCAGCTACTCAGGAGGCTGAGGTGGGAGGATCATTGAGCCCAGGAGTTTGACGCCAGCCTGGGCAACACAGCAAGACCCCATCTCTATTTTCAAAAATTAATTATCTGGGTGTGGTGGCATACACCTGTGGTACCAGCTACTTAGGAGGCTGAGGTGGGAGGATCCCTTGAGGCCAGGAGTGCAAGACCAGTCTAGGCAATATAGTGAGACTCCATCTCTACCAAAAAAACCCAAAAGCTAAAAAACACTTTTTTAAAATTAGCTGGGTGTGGTGGCACGTGCCTGTATTTCCAACTACTCGGGAGGCTGAGGCAGGAAGATCACTTGAACCTAAGGTTTCGAGGTTGAGCTATGATTGCAGTCCAGCCTGGGCAACAGAGTGAGACCGCATCTCTTAATTAACTAATTTTTTTTAAAGGTGCTCCTCAGTATCACCTAAGTGTTGCTACCTGGGATTAGTTTTAGATTTTAAGAGAAGTGGAAATCTGGAATTTTACATGAGACTTCTCAATTTTTAAACATAGAAATTAAATAAAATTATTTCAAACACACTTTAGGTTGAACAAAATATAACTGCCATTCAAATTCATCCAGCGGTCCTAAGGTGCTCTGTTTCATCTCTAAAACAATGCAGCCCTGAGCCTGAGCCAAATCTGAGTCACCCCATGAGCCATTTCCATGACACTGAGCCCTGATGTCCACCCCACTGGGGGACTCATGGAATGAGGAGGGGCTGTGCTATCTTTGTGGGTTACAGAAACAACACAGGCTTTCTGGTATTCTATGGCTTATGGGATTCTAACACCAGAGAGAAAGGACCTGCTCAAGGTCACTGGGTGAAAGGTGATTGAGTCGAGACTGGAACCCTCATTCAGCAGGGTGGTCTCCGAGGCTGGTGGCTGCAAGAGCTCAGTGGAAACAGCCACACTGAAATGCCACTCCAGCTGTGCCACTCACTGGCTCTGTGACCCTAGGCGAATCCGTTGTCCTCTCTGAGCCTCTTTTCTCAGCACTAATGGGTAAAAATCATAGAAGAAGAAATCAGTGTCATGTAAATGAAATCAGTTAAAGTCTATGATGCAAGCAGTCCAGAGCCTGGCCCTATTATTATTTTTCCTTTACTTTTTTTTTTTTTTTGAGATGGAGTCTTGCTCTGTCACCCAGGCTGGAGTACAGTGGCATGATCTCAGCTCACTGCAACCTCCCCATCCTGGGTTCAAGCGATCCTCCTGCCTCAGCCTCCCAAGTAGCTGGGATTACAGGTGTGCACTATCACGCCCAGATAATTTTTATATTTTTAGTAGAGATAGAATTTCACTACGTTGGCCAAGCTGGTCTTGAACTCCTGACCTCAAGTGATCCGCCCACCTCAGCTTCTCAAAGTGCTGGGATTACAGGCGTGAGCCACCACAATTTACTATTTTTCATTCCACAAATGTTTATTATGCATCTTCTGTGTTCCACTTACCAGGGATACAGACAGGGTCCCTGCCCTCATGGAGCAAATGGTGCAGGGGCAGGGGAGACAGACAAGAGACGAATGAACAAATGGATTTATAAAGTGTTCATTGTTGTGATTAAAAAGAAATAACGCAAGCCAGAGATGGCTAGAAAGTGAGAGGAGGTGTAATGTTAAACAGGTTGGTCAGGGGAGGGGTCATGTATGTTGAGAATTGAAGGAAATGGGAGAGCCAGGCAAATCTCCCAGGGAAGAGCATTCCAGGCTGAGGGAACAGCCAGTGCAAAGGTCCTGAGGCAGGACATGTTCTTAGAGATGTTCAAGGAACAGCAAGGAGGCCATGGTGGTTGGAACTGAGAGAGTAAGGGTTGTTTTTATTTGTTGCAGGAGCAGAGTTGAGGACAGATACTAGGGATGGGGAGTTAAATGGGCTGAAGTCACCAGGAATTTGATTAGCCCTAAGGAGGAGAGAAAGCACAGTTTGTAAGAGGAAGCCTGAGAACAAAGTTAAGAGGCAGGAATAAGGTGGGCCAGTGAGTAGTGAGGCCTGGGCAGGAGTTTTGGGTGTACCAACCCTCCTGGGTTGGCCCCCACTTCCCCCTCCAGCCTCATCTCTCCATAATTCTACTAATCGCCCCCTCTACCAGCCTGGTCTTCTTCCTCCATCCATACCAGAAACCCTGTGTTTCTCCTGCCTCAAGGCCTTTGCATATGCTGTTCCTCTGCCTGGAACACTCTCCCCCCTTCCCCCAAGAATCCCACTCCTTTCTCCTCCCCTAATTTAATCTCTGTCCATCCTTCAGATTTCACTTTAGGTGTCTGTACCTCCAAGTAGCCTTCCAGATTCCCCCAGCTGAATTACAGCCCCTTTAGAATGTTCCTGGTACCCCTGTGCTGCTCCACATGTCACACTGTGGTCTAATTGCCAGGTTACCATCTGCCTCCTATGTCCACTGGCTTCTTGGTAAGGGCAGAGTGGGATCTGGGTTCAGTTCTACACCCACAGGCCCCACACCCCCAGAAAACGGGCTTAACTGGCCTTGGAGAAGGCAAAGTGCAGCTGCTGAGAATGCAGTGGAGAGAGAGAAAGAGCGAGGCAGGAGGGCTCGCAGGATCTAAATAATGCACCCAGGCATTGAGCATCTCTTTGAATTTGACTTTATATATTGATATGATTTGGCTGTGTCTCCACCCAAATGTCGTCTTGAATTGTAGCTCCCATAATCCCCACATGTCGTGGGAGGGACCCCGTGGGAGATAATTGAATCATGGGAGCAGGTTTTTTCCCATGCTATTTTCATGATAGTGAATAAGTCTCACAAGATCTGATGGTTTCATATATGGCAGTTGTTCCCCTGCACGCACTTTCTTTCATGTAAGACATGCCTTTGCTCCTCTTTCACCTTCCGCCATGATTGTGAGGCCTCTCCAGCCATATGGAACTGTGAGTTCATTAAACCTCCTTTCATTTATAAATAACTCAGTCTCAGGTGTGTCTTTATTAGCAGCATGAGAACAGACTAATACATCTACATTTCCACAGTCCACTCCATTTAATGCTGTGCATAAAAAGATTGTTTTTGTTCATTCATTTGCTCAACAAATATTTATTGAGCAACTTCATTGTGCCCAGCAATAAAAGGAATGATAGACATCATAGAGGTGCTAATCTCACTTCCCTATACCTCAGTTCTCTCAATGAAAGCATTCACTCAGCCACCTCAATGTGCCTAGCATGAGCAGGAAACACAGAACTGTGAAAGGCACCTTTCTTTCCTTCAAGAAGATTATAATCTAGATTTTTGAAGAGATCACCTTGTAAGAAGGAGTGGAAGCCAAGAACAAACCTCCAACATTCACCGAGGGCTCACAGTGAGTGAGGTGCTCTGCTAAGTGATTATATCCATTGTCTTATCCTTCTGCTCAGCCCCACCATGCACCCACTCATTCATTCAACAGATGTGCCGTAAATTTTCCGTGCACTAAACACAGCTCTAGTTCCTACAGGTTCAGCAATGACCAAGACAAAGTCTCTACTCTCACATAGATGACCTCTATAGAAGGAAACAAACAAAAAATAAATACACAATATAAGGTCAGGAAGTCATAAATGAGATAAAGAAAAATAAAGCATAAGGGGCTGTGATGTTGTACAAAAACCTGAATGAAATAAGAGAGCCAACCACACAAGACAAACATTTCAAGCAGAGGGAACAGCCAGCACAAAACCCTATCAGGTAGGTTACTACCATTGCCACTTCCCAGATAATGAAACTGGACTAACTCTAAGGCTTAGAGAGGTTAAGCAATTATCCAAGATCACATAGCTCAGAAGTGGCAAAATTCAGATTTCAATCCAAGTCTGATTCCAGAGCTCATGATTGTCATCACTATGTGATACTTTCACTCTCAGAAGAACCGTATTAAGACTATGAACTTGCCTTTGCACACTGCACTAGCTATATCCTAAAGAAACTGATATGTATTTTTATTACCTCTTTCTCTAAATATTTCATAATTTCAGTGTGATTTCCCTTTGACCCAAGAGTTGACTCAATGAGGTTTCAAATTTCCACAAATCAGAAGGGATTTTTGACTTTCTCAAAGGAAACAAGGGTTAAATCAAACTCAGTGGAGATGATTCACAATACTTATGTTGCATTTTATAGTTTATAAAGCACATGTATTCTTCTTCATCAAAACCCAATAAAATGAATTAGATGGGAAAATAGCCTTCTTATTTTACGTAGCTCAGAAATGTAAATTCCTAATCCAAGAAGAGACAACTAGCAAGTGGCCAAAATAATTTCACACTATACCCTACTGCAGCTCCATAAGGGATCTATCATGTAGAATTTGATGCTAAACTCCTGAGATATATAGGAGATGGTATTGTGTGGTAGTGAACAGTAGCCTCTGAAGTCACCCTGAGGTCCAAATCCTCATATTCCCACTTAGAAGTTGTGAATGTCTTCATCGCTCTATGCCTCAGTTTCCCTAACTGTAAAATGGCCATAAATAGTAGGACCTTCTTCATAAGATCGTTGGGAAGATTACATGAGGACATGGTTTCCATCATTCCTAAAATGAAATACAAACACCTTACTATGCACAGGGCCTGTGCAAAGTCACAGGCAAGGCTGCAAGTGACCTGGCCCCTACCCACCTGTCTGCACACTCCCTCTAGCTTCATTCCCCTGCTTGGTCTTCTTGTAATACTCTTAGCTTATTCCAGCCTCATAGCCTTCACCCTTGCCATGCCTTCTTCCTGGAACATTTTCCTCACAAATCTTCTCATGCCTTACTCCCTCACTGCATCCAGGTCCTTACTCAAATGCCTTTTCAGATGGCCTGACATCCCCCTTCCAGTATTTCTGTCCCCTCCCCACGGCTATATTTGCCTTCACAGCACTTAGCACAACCTGCAAGTTACTCATTAGCTAATTTGTGTATTGCCTGCCTTCCCTGCAGGTAGAAGAGTCCCATGAGAACTGGAATTTGGTTTATTTTATTCATTACTTTGTCCGCAATACCTCCAGCAGCTAATAAATAAATAGTGGCTTTATTAATACAAGCGTGGAGGGCACAGCACAGGGTAGAATGGGGAGAACTCTGAGCTCCTCACCTGCTACATCACCTGAAGCAGCTCAACCTTTATATGACACATCAGATTTCATTGGGTAAGAATTTCATGGATTTTTTTCTTCTTTTTACATATGAAAAGTAATCATATGGATCAGACTACCAGCATCAGACTTACCTTGAGGCACCTGCTAAAAATCCCCAGTCCACACCTCCACCTCCTTGGTCCCACAGAATTTCTGGGGGATCCAGGAATCTGCATATCAACAAGCACCCTGGGTAGTTCCTAAACAATCTAAAGTTTGAGTTCTACTTATCTAGAGGGCTCTTGGTCCTTATTGAATCTCAACATCAGGATTAGAGGTGTGTTGATTCTCTAGAACATTCCTTTTGGCACACAAGTGCACTGCCTGGCCATTTTAACCAACTTTTTTTTTTCTTTGAGACAGAGTTTCACTCTATTGCCCAGGCTGGAGTGCAGTGGCGCAGGATCTTGGCTCACTGCAAACTCTGCCTCCCGAGTCCAAGCGATTCTCCTGCCTCAACCTCCCAAGTAGCTGGAACTACAGGCATGCACCACCACGCCTGGCAAATTTTTGTATTTTTAGTAGAGACGGGGTTTCACCATGTTGGCCAGGCTGGTCTCGAACTCCTGACCTCAAGTGATCCACCTGTCTCGAACTCCCGAAGTGCTGGGATTACAGGTGCGAGCCACCGCGCCCAGCGTAACCTTTTCAAGAAACGGGATTCAATGTGCAGTCATGAGGCCATCCAGGTTTTCAACTGGGAAGTCTCCCTTAGTGAATATCACTATGTGGGAAATCATCAAAGAAAACTTGACTGAAACTGACTTGGATTGAAGGATGCAAAGTATTGTTCCTGGGTGTGTCTGTGAGGGTGTTGCCAATGGATATAACATTTGTGTCACTGAACTAGGAGAGGCCTACCCACCCTCAGTCTGGGTGAGCACCATCTAATCAGCTGCCCACGGCTAGGATAAAAGCAGGCAGAGGAACGTGGAAGGACTACACTGGCTGAGTCTTCCAGCCTGCATCTTTCTCCCCTGCTGGATGCTTCCTGCCTTCGAACATCGGACTCCAAGTTCTTCAGCTTTTGGACTTTTGGACCTACACTAGCGGTTTGCCAGGGGCTCTCGAGCCTTTGACCGCTGACTGAAGGCTGCACTGTGGGCTTTCCTACTTTTGAGGTTTTGGGACTCAGACTGGCTTTCTTGCTTCTCAGCTTGCAGACAGCCTATCGTGGGACTTCACCTTGTGATAGTGTGAGTCAATACTCTTCAATAAACTCCCTTTATATATACATCTATCCTATTAATCCTGTCCCTCTAGAGAACCCTAATACACCGTCCCTCTGCACACGTGCACACTTCAAAGCCTCAAACAATAATTGGCTCCCCTAGGCGTCCTCAGTTTTGTTCATTCCTTCCGGGGAAAGCCACTTCACATAAAGTGGAAGTAAGTAATTTAAAGCTCCATCCTTAATAACAACTGCAGGAGCTCTTGCCGCACTGTGAGACCATCAAGGGTGTGCCCCATGGAGCAATTCTGTCCCTGGACTTCTGAGCCATCACGCCCAGGAATGACGCCTGAGGTGCCCCACCCCTCCAGAGGTGGCCCCTGTGTTTGGACCACACCCCCAGCCTGACACAGTTAATTGGATCAGAAGTAGACCATGTGACCCTGGCTGGACCAATCAGATTCTTTCTCCTAGATTGCGTAGGGAGGTGTTAGTTCAGGCTCAAATATCTGAAAACTCAGCAACTTCCGGGGCCCTGGAGCGTAGAGAACGGTGTCAGAGTGAGAGGCATGATGTTGCCAGGAGTGTAGATATGAACAGAAACATCTGGTTCCCTTGCTCCTGCTCTTGGGTTCCCTGTGGTGTCCAGATATTCTTAACTCTATTCTTTTGTGTTTAACCTTCATTAAATCCATTCCCAAAGAGACCCCAAAATACAAAGTCTCAGATATTTACACGTGAAAGACCCAACAGGGCCTGATAGTTTTTGTGATACTGCAGACTTCCTTGAGCCTTGGATTCCCCGTTTTCTGCAGCGATAATCACTTCTGAGTCCCCTCCCACCAACCTAGGGTCAATCAGAGAATCTTAAGAGTCTCAGAGTCCATAAAGACTCTATAATTTAGCCCTTTAATTTATGTATTTATTTATTTTTTTGAGACAGGGTCTCGCTCTGTCATTCAGGCTGGAGTGCAATGGCACAATATCGGCTCACTGCAACCTCCACCTCCTAGGCTCAAGCGATTCTCCTGACTTGGCCTCACGAGTAGTTGGGACTACAGGCATCTGCCACAACCACCTGGCTAATTTTTGTATTTTTAGTAAAGATGGGGTTTCACCATGTTGGTCAGGCTGATCTCGAACTCCTGACCTCAAGTGATCCACCCACCTCAGCCTCCCAAAGTGCTGGGGTTACAGGCATGAGCCACCGCGCATGGCCAGCCCTTTAATTTTGTAGATTATAAACTGAGGCATGGATATAGGATGTAGTTTGCTCAAGGCCACACAGCAAATGAATAGTAAGGCTAGAAGAGGAACGCAAGTCTCCTGGCTTTTAATGCAGAGCTGCCGCTAGACATTAGGGAAATGCAAAGGATGGTTCCTTCTTCCTTCCATCCCTTTATCAATCTCCTCCTTTTCTTCTATTTTTTTTTAATTACAGATGTTTCTAGGAGAGCAAATATGGGGGCAAGGAGAGGAATACAGTGCTTCAGAGGTCAAACTCTTGGATAAAGAGAAACTTGGTGCAAATCCTATTCCCTATCTGACCTTGAGAAAAGAACTCAACTTTTCTGTGCCTCAGTTTCCTCGTCTGCAAAATGTTGAAAATAGTGACTTCAGAGGGGCTGTTGTAAGGATGGAATGAGACAGTGGACAATACCTGGCACTATTGAACAAACTCTTAAAACAGTAGCTGTTATTATTGTCGTTGAGGATAATGTCGTTATTAGCCGTGCAGACAAAAGAACTCAATGAAAATTAGGTCATACCTAAAAGAAGTGAGGCTGCAGGCAAGTGAGGACTTAATAAAGCATGAAAGTCAGAGTTACCTCCCAGCCACTGTCCTCCCTCTGACATACAGTCAATTCAGTTATGGGAGGCAAAGTAAGTTTTAATTCCAGGGAAAATTCACGAAGCCACCCACCCAGCAAGTTTCTGGGGCATTTATCCATGTTTGCCAGGAAACACAAATAGAACCATTGAAAGAGCCATAAACTCAAGGAAAATAAAAAGATGGAGAAATATTCATGAACAAAGATATGCATCACAAATAGCCATAAGAGAAAAGCTGGCATCAACCAAAATGTCTGCCAACCAGAGAGTGGTTATGTAAATCCAGACATGACCGCTCAATGAAATATGACATACACATTAAAAATGTTGTTCGTGGCCAGGCTGACACCTGTAATCCCAGCACTTTGGGAAGCCAAGGCAGGTGGATCACTTCAGCCCAAGAGTTCAAGACCAGCTTGGGCAACATAGTGAAACCCCATCTCTACAAAAAATACCAAAAAAAAAAAAAAAAAAGCTAGCTGGACATGGTGGTACACGCCTGTAGTCCCAACTACTTGGGAGGCTGAGGTAGAAGGATTGCTTAAGTCCAGGAGGTCAAGGCTACAGTGAGCTATGATCACGACACTGCACTTCAGCCTGGGCAACAGAGGGAGACCCTGTCTCAAAAAAATATATATTTTTCAAGGCCAGGCATGGTGGCTCATGCCTGTTTTTCATGGCCAGGCATGGTGGCTCATGCCTATAATCCTATCACTTTGGCAGGCGGATGTGGGAGAATTGCTCAAGCCCAGGAGCTGGAGGCTGCAGTGAGCTACAATTGCACCACTGCACTCCAACCTGGGTAACAGAATGAGAACGTATCTCTAAAAAATAATAATAATCATAATGTTCATGAAGACAGGCAAGACACAGAGACATGCTTAGGAAGAAATAAAAAAAGGATACAAAACTGTCATGCACAATATAAACAATCATGATTTGTGAAATTATATATCAAAAAAAGACAAAGAAAATTGCCCCAAAGTGTTTACATTGGTTCTTCGGATGATGGAATTGTGGATAGTTTTCACTTATCCTTTTTTGATTTTTTCCAAATTGTTTAATGAGTTTTCCCTCTTCATAACAAGAAAAAACTACATATTAAAATTGAAACATTTGTTGGTAGGTGTGTCAAGGAATCTTAGATCTGGGAAAAACATTAGAGGTCATCTGGTCCAAAACGTCTTACTCAACGGAAAAAGAAACTAAGCCCAGAGAAGCTGAATAACTTTCACAAGGTCACGTAGCTGGTGAGCAGCAAAAGTGGGACTGAACCCGTGTGTCTTCAGTGTCAGTTCAGCTTTGGTTCAAGCACAACAGATTACTAACCAAGGCATGGTATAGAGGGAAGGAAAACTAAACAGAAATATTACATACACATTAAAAATGTTGTTCGTGGCCAGGCTGACACCTGTAATCCCAGCACTTTGGGAAGCCAAGGCAGGTGGATCACTTCAGCCCAAGAGTTCAAGACCAGCTTGGGAAACATAGTGAAACCCCATCTCTAGCTACCTCCCAAGCTACCTACTTCTTTTCCCCCCAAATATTTTGAGTCATTTGTGGACCTGCTCATTTCCATAAAGGCAGAATAATCTTAATTTTGTCGAGACTCTTAATATGGTTTGGCTGTGTCCCCACCCAAATCTTAAATTATGGCTCCCATAATTCCCATGTCATGGGAGGGACCCAGTGGGAGGTAATTGAATCATGGGGGCAGGTCTTTCCCATGTTTTTCTCATGATAGTGAATAAGCCTCACGAGGTCTGATGGTTTTATAAAGGGGAGTTCCCTCGCACATGCTCTCTCTATGGCCTGCCACCATGTGAGACGTCCCTTGCTCTTCCACCGTGATTGTGAGGCCTCCCCAGTCATGTGGAACTGTGAGTCAATTAAATCTCTTTCCTCTATAAATTACCCAGTCTCAGGTATGTCTCTATTAGCAGCATGAGAACAGACTAATACAAATCTGCTAAACATTCTTCCTCACTAATAGTCCCCCAAGGTAAGAAAACTTGCAGGAAGTAACCAAGGAACAATTTTTGCCTTCTAATTTAATTACCACAGTTCTTGTCTATTAGAGCACTCACGAAGAACTTGGATTTAAATGTTCCCCGCAAAGCCAGTGTGGAATGCAGTGGACTCGGTATCAAGAAAAGTTAATTTTGAATGTCAGTGTAATTCTTACAGGAAAACACTCTTCTATAATTTACCTTCCCAATCCATTAGTGCTTTGACAATGTAGGGATTTGATATTTTAGTCACATCCAATCTGCACAAATTGGTTCATAAAAAGACTATCTTGACTAAACTACATTAAAGTGCAAACTAGCTAACTTCCCCACCTCGCCCCCGCCCTCAAATACTGTATACAAAAGACAAGACAGGCCAGGCGCGGTGGCTCACGTCTATAATCCCAGCACTTTGGGAGGCCGAGGCGGGCGGATCACGAGGTCAGGAGATCGAGACCATCCTGGCTTACACGGTGAAACCCCATCTCTACTAAAAATACAAAAAAAAATTAGCCGGGCGTGGTGGCGGGCGCCGGTGGTCCCAGCTACTCGGGAGGCTGAGGCAGGAGAATGGCGCGAACTCGGGAGGCGGAGCTTGCAGTGAGCCGAGATCGCGCCACTGCACTCCAGCCTGGGCGACAGAGCGAGACTCCATCTCAGAAAAAAAAAAAAAAAAAAAAAAAAAGACAAGACAAAAGTGTCTGCTAAGTCCTCGGTTAAAAATGGCCTCACCTGGAGAGCACCCTTTTATAGTCATGCCCTTTTAAGAAGGGCGTGGGAGATGGAAAGACAGGGGGTGGGGAGATATAGAAAGACAGAGATAAAGAGAAAGAGAACATTTTATGTTAAATCCAGAGAGACGTGGAGAGAGAGGCGGAGAACAGGGACAAAATGATTGAGACAGAGACAAAGAGGCAAAGAGATAAAAATAGTGAATGAGAGACAGGAAGACAAACTGACAGAGAGAGAAAGACAGAGATAGAAATAGACACGGTATCTGTTTTTGTTCCTCTCTCTATCCATAGCACCCTAGACAGCCCTTAGCCTATAGTAGAGACTTCTTGTATATGTGTTTACTTAATCAGCTAATTAATGAGTCAGTGAGAGAGTGAATGAAATAACTGGAAATATGTCAAAATCGAGATTAGAAATATGAAGATGGGGGAATGACATAAGAAACAACTTGGCCAGCTATGGTGGTGCACACCTGTGGTCCCAGCTACTCAGGAGGCTGAGGCAGGAGGATGGCTTGAGCCCAAGAGGTCAAGGCTGCAGTGAGCCATGATCACACCACTGCACTAGAGCCTGGGTGACAGAGTGAAACCCTGTCTCCAAAAAAATTAAAAAGAAGATAGAAAAGAAACAGCTAAGGCAGTTGGCAGTAGTTGTCTCTAGGGATGGACCAGAAACAGAGGAACAGAAACTAATATTTTATTATAAATATGTTATAATCTGACTTTTAAACTATATACTTGTATGACTTTGATGCAATACAGCTAATCTTTTAAACAAGATCATAAAAATTAAATGTAATGGCTTTACCAGAATTTTTTTTTAATACAAGAGGAAAGATGAAAAGGAGCAAGAGGAGTTTTCCAAATGGTGGGAATTTGAGAAGAGAAGGTGAGGGAGGAGGCATTCTGGAGGGCAGTTCATGAAGTTCAAATGATACGGGTGCCCACAGATTAATTCTGAGAAAAGTAATCCCTGGGATAACTTTGTTCTGAAAGGTCTGTTTGAGCCGTGCTTTGGGTGAAGCCAGCTCTGCAGCTGTGATCACTATGGGACTCAGAATCGGTGCTCAAGCCAAAAGCAGCCAATCAGTACATGAGGGGGAGACCACAAATGAAACTCTGCCCAATGGAAGTGCGACCTATTTGACAGTGGTAAATCCAACCAATCAGATCCTTTCTTGGAAAGTATAAATACCAGGGCAGGCATTCCTTCTGCCCTTGAGACACCATGGGATTGGGGGAGGCTGTCTATGAATCTCTTGAAATTGTATACAAAAAAAGTATGTGCTGTAGTTTCCCAGGCACGATAGCTTTAATCAGATTTTCGGAGGAACCTATGATGAAGAAAGAGGAAGAACTAGTAAAATAATAAATTTTTTTTACATTTTTTAATTGGAAGATTTCATGTAAAAAATCTGATTTCCAACTTCCCAAAACATACAGTAACATAGAACCTGTAATTTTTCATGGTAATGATTGCCCAGAGCTGAGTTGCTGCTGCTCCTATAGATGGAGCATGTGTTCCCAACTCACTATATTCCCACCACTCTTGTATTTTCTGGCTCTGCCTGCTTCAGTTGTTGACATTTCATGCTCGGACCCTGTAAGCAGTTGACTTTGCAACTCCCAGCTGTCAGAAAGTGGCTAGTTCAGACTAAAATGTAAGTGGTTGCTATGTTCGCATTTTTGCAATAGGAGCTTATTGAACCCATCAATCCCTAATGAAGTTCATAGGGCATATCATGCAGTCCTTCTCGGGCCATGTTTTGGTTCAGGCAGAACCAAAATGACAGAAATCTAGTTCTGGCTGTTCTACCTCCCAAAGATTTACAATCCTCTGTAGATCTTCCCAGATTTCTCTCCATTCTGTTTTTGTTGTTTTGTTTTGGGTTGGTTTCTTAGGAAGTTTTTTGTTTTGTTTTGTTGCTTTTTGAAGACTCATTATTAGTTGCTGGAATTATAGTTTTGCCCCTCAAAAGATTCTGGCCCCCTAGCAAAAGGTGAAGTCAGTAGCACCCTTTGATTGACTCATACTCTTGAAAGCTTTTTTTCTTCCCTGGCTGTGAGGTAACAGTCACAGACAGCCACTATTGCTGGGGTCATGCTGCGAGAAACCCTGTTACCTTTGCATAATAAAAAGCTGCACTGTTTGAAACTGTCTCATGCTGGGCCCATTTTCTTAGCCGCTTGACACCCACATAGGGACAAAATGACTTTGAATTCAGGGGTGGCAGTGAGGAAAACAAAGGTGTCCTATGTCAGAGTCTGTGCTGCTCTTTATCCTGCAAGCTTGAGAACAGTGACTTCCATTATAACTCAGAGGGGAAGAGAGATTTCTTGCCTGAGGCAGGTGTCTAAGAGACTGAATCTCTACTTTACTTGAGTTAATTACATTTGATTCAGTACTTCCTGAATATCATTATGTGAAATGCAGTATGTGTGACATGTGGGAATACAAGAATGAGGAAGACAGAGCCACGGCTCCCAAAAAACTTGAAGCCTAGGCCAGGCACAGTGGCTCACACCTGTAATTTTAGCACTTTGGGAGGTCAAGGCAAGAGGATTGCTTAAGCCCAGGAGTTCAAGACCAGCCTGCCCAACAAAGTGAGGCCCCATCTCTACAAAAAAAAAAAAAAATAGGTGGGCATGATGGTGTCAGAGGCATTTGAACCAGAGCAACTCCATCTTGAATAGGGGCTGGGTAAAATAAGGCTGAGACCTACTGAGCTGCATTCCCAGAAGGTTAAGGCATTCTAAGTCACAGGATGAGATAGGAGGTCGGCACAAGATACAGGTCACAAAGACTTTGCTGATGAAACAGCATATGGTAAAGAAGCCAGCCAAAACCCACCAAAACCAAGATGGCAACCAAAGTGACCTCTGATCATCCTCACTGCTCATTATACGCTAATTACAATGCATTACCATGCTAAGAGACACACTCACCGGCAGCATGACAGTTACAAATACCATGGCAACATCAGGAAGTTACCCTACTTGGTCTAAAAAGGGGAGGAACCCTCAGTTCTGGAAACTGCCTACCCCTTTCATAGAAAATTCATGAATAATCTGCCCCTTGTTTACCATATAACCAAGAAGTAACAATAAGTATAAGCAGCTGCGCAGCCCATGCTGCTGCTCTGCCTATGGAGTAGCCATTCTTTATTCCTTTATTTTCTTAAAAAACTTGCTTTCACTTTACTCTATGTACTCGCCCCGAATTTTTTTTGCATGAGATCCAAGGACCCTCTCTTGGGATCTGGATCAGAATCCCTTTCCGGTAACAGTGGCACATGCCTGTGTTACTAGCTTCCCAGGAGGCTGAGGCAGAAGGATAGCTTGAGCCCGGGAGGTCAAGGCTGCAATGAGCCATTTTCATGCCACTGCACTCCAGCCTGGGTGACAGAGAGAGACTCTATCTCAAAAAAAAAAAAAAGGAAGAAAAGAAAAAAAAGAAAAGAACATTTCTATTGAAAAAAATACAATAATTTAAAAAAAAAAAAAGTTTTATAAGAGGGAATAGCTCAGGGCCCCAGGGCCCTGACAAGAGTAAGACCAGTGTGAACACTGTCATTTTTATTGTATAGCCACACCTTCCAAAAGAAAATTCTTCCCTCCACCAAAATTCTTCTCTCCACCAAATTATGTGGGGCCAGATCTGAGCTTCAGGGGCGTGAAAATAAGAACTCAGGGCTGGGTGCAGGGCCTCATGCTGTAGTCCCAGCACTTTGGGAGGCCAAGGCAGGCGGATAACCCGAGGTCAGGAGTTTGAGACCAGCCTGGCCATCATGGCAAAACCCCGTCTCTACTAAAAATACAAAAATTAAGGCCGGGTGAGGTGGCTGAAGCTTGTAATACCAGCACTTTGGGAGGCCGAGACGGGTGGATCACCTGAGGTCAGGAGTTTGAGACCAGCCTGGCCAACATGGTGAAACCCCATCTCTACCAAAATATACAAAAATTAGCCAGGCGTGGTGGTGCATGCCTGTAGTCCCAGCTACTCAGGAGGCTGAGACAAGAAATTGGACAGCCTGGCCACACAGGGTCTGCAATCCTGCCTGGCAGCGCTCCTGGCGACCCCCACAGCTGAACTGCTCAGCACAGCAGCGTGGTTAAGAGTCAGGACTCTGGAGCCGCCTGCCTGGAGTCCCATCCTGACTTGACACTTGCTACTCATGTGATCTTGGGTAAGTGACTTTCACCTTGCCTACCTGTTTCCCTGTCTGTAAAATCAGGGTCATCACAAGTAGCAAGTTCAGGGAGCGTGGTGAGGATTCAATGAATGAATAACTCCAGACAGCGCCTGGTGCGTAGTTGAAACTAGGTAAGAGTTGGGCCCATTGTGCATCCCTCTGGCCCTGTGTGCATCTGAGTTTGCAACACCTGGTTTAGGAGGTGAAATCAAAAGGATATATTGTCAGGATGGGGTTGGGGTGAGGGGCGGAGACGCCCTCTGATTAACTATGGAAACCTTGATCCAGGGAACGTGCTATGACCTAGAGTGGGAGTGAGGATGCGGGTAAAAATCAGACACACTGTCTCTCTAGTGCCCAGATTTCAGCACTTTCTGAGTTTCCCGTCTTCCTATCCCTTCGAAAGACCCTTGACCAAAGCCTGATGCGGGGTCCCAGCCGGCTCCAGGAGAGGCACATATCGAGCCTGGGTAAAAGCGCACATCCGACACCCCGTGGCTACCGGAGAGGAGCTACCTTCGCCGCAGCCACCCCGCGACCACCTGTTCCCCTCTCGGAGACTCGCAGGAGCAGCCACTTTGGGGGGCCTTGCCGGACCCGCCCCTCAAAATCCCAAAGGATAGCACGGGTCCTGCGCGGGTCTCCCCGCCCCCAAGTCCCTCGTCGCCCCACCCCCGGTTCTAGCGCATCCTCCCGCTCCAGCAGCCCCATTCCCGGAGGCAGCGTCCCGCGTCCGGCCGCGCCCCCACGGGAGCCCCCACGACCCCCCAGCCAGCGCGTGCTGCAGCTTGGGAGGGCAGGACCTGGTGGCCCGCAGCCCCCGCCCGCCTTACCGGCCTGCAGCGTTGGTGGGCCCGTCCCTCCGCCGCCTCCAGCGGTGTCGCCTCTGCCACCGCTGCCACCACCGCGGCAAAGCCACCCGCGCGTGACCCTCGAGCACTAACACCACCCTTCACCCAGCTCTGCCCTTAAATGTGGAAACAGCCGACCATCCTCATCCCCCCGCTAAAGGGAAGCTCAGAAAGGGTTAACAAGCCAAGATCAAGGGTTAGGAACACCACTGCCGCCTTCCTCCACCACCCCCCTACCTTCTCCATCGCCCCTCTCCCTCCTCTTCCTCCCTCTCCCTCCTCCACCTCCACCACCCCCTCCCTCCTCCACCCACCTCCCTCCCTCCTCCACCACCCTCCTCCCTCCTCCATCTTCATCACTCCTTCTCCCACCCTCTCTCCCTCCTCCACCACCCCCTCTCCCTCCTCCACCTTCACCACCCCCTCCTTCCTCCACCTTCATTATCCCTTCTCCCTCCTCCACCACCCCCTCTCCCTCCTCCACCACCCCCTCTCCCTCCTCCACCTTCATCACCCCCTCCCTCCTCCACCACACCCTTCTCTCTCCTCCACCACACCCTCTCCCTCCTCCACCACACCTTCTCCCTCCTCCACCTTCATCACCCCCTCCCTCCTCCACCACCCCCTCTCTCTCCTCCACCTCCACCACCCCTTCTCCCTCCTCCACCACCCCTTCTCCCTCCTCTACCTTCATCACTCCCTTTCCTACCCCGTCTCACTCCTCTACGTTCATCACCCCCCTCCCTCCTCCATCACCCCCTCTCCCTCCTCCACCATCCCCTCTCCCTCCTCCACCTTCATCAACCCCTCTCCCTCCTCCACCTTCATCACTTCCTTTCCTACCCCCTCTACCTCCTCCACCTTCATCACCCCCTCTCCCTCCTCCATTACCCCCTCTCCCTCCTTCACCATCCCCTCTCCCTCCTCCACCTTCATCAACCCCTCTCCCTCCTCCACCACCCCCTCTCCGTGCTCCACCTTCATTACTCCCTCTTACTCCTCCACCACCTCCTCTCCCTCCTCCACCTCCCACTCTCCTCTTCCTCTTCCTCCCTCCCCCTCCTCCATGCCCCCTCACTCCTCCACCACCCCCTGCCTCCTCCACCACCTCTTCTCTCTCTTCCATCACCCCCTTTTTCTTCTCCACTACCCCCACCCCCTCCCTCCTTCACTTTCACTACCCTCTCCCTCCTCCACACCCCCTCCCTCCTCCACCAACCCATCTGTCTTCTACCTCCACCACCCCTCTTCCTCCTCCTCCCCTTTCCCTCTTCCACCACCCCTCTCCCTCCCCCATTACCCCTCTCCCTGCCCCACCACACCTCTCCCTCCCCCACCACACCTCTCCCCAGCACCCCCTCCCTCCTCCATCACCCGTCTCCCTACCCACCACACCTCTCCCTCCTCCACCACCCCTCTCCCTCCACCACCCCTTCTACAGTTGGGTTTTTCTAAGGGTGCAGGCAGAACCCCTTCACATGCCCCTCCCTCCCCCTCAATCATTCTTTCATTTTGCTGTTCCCCAAATCACAGAGGCCATTGCCCCCTGGGGCATTTGCACTTGCTGTTCCTATACTGGGAACATTTGTCCCCTCTTCTAAGGATCCTCAAAGGAAATTCGAGGGGAGGGGGGCCTCAGGGAGTCAGCCAACCGAAGTGCCTCCTTATCTAGTCTCTGAAGGAACTGCTGACCCCAAGGTGCAGGGTTTTCAATGAGTAGCTCAGTGCCTAACCTGGACTTTCAGCTCATTTATGAAACTTTCATTTGTGACCCAAATTAAAATGAGTAGTTATTGGAGGTATTAACAAATTAGCTCATGTAAAGTGCTAGGGACAGTGTCTGGCACACAGTGGACACTCCATAATGTTAGTTATTATCTTCTACCTGCATTCGGCATGACAGCCATTCCAAGGATGAAATGGAGCAGAACATCTTTCCAGGGCTGAAATCATCTCATTCTCTGCCACTTTAAAGCAACTGATGTAACCCAGAGGATTGTGGCCAAATGTGGCCTGCAGAATATATTCTGTTTGGTTTCATTGGTGTTCTAGAAAAATGTGACTTAATTGCCAATACTTAAAAACAGAGATCAGGCCAGGCATGGTGGATCACGCCTTTAATCACAGCTCTTTGGGAGGCCAAGGCAGGAAGATTGCTTGAGGCCAGAAGTTCAAAACCAGCCTGGGCAACATAGTGAGACCCTATGTCTACAAAAAAATTTTAAAATTTAGCCTGGAAGCTGAGGCTCAGAAAGGTCTAGTTAACTCCCCGTGGTCACACAGCTAATAAACAAAGGAACTAAAAGTTGAACAGTCTTTGTAACTCAAGTACCTTAGCATGTTAAGGGAAAGTATAAAGGGGAGGCCAGGGGTGGTGGTTCACACTTGTAATCCCAGCACTTTGGGAGGCCAAGGTGGGAGGATTACCTGAGTCTGGGAGCTCAAGACTGGCCTGGGCAACATAGCAAAATCCCACTTCTACAAACATTACAAAAGTTATCCGGGGGTTGGCATGCACCTGTGGTCCTGGCTACTCAGGAGGCTGAGGTGGGAGGATTGCTTGAGCCTGGGAGACAGATGTTGCAGTGAGTCAAAATCGCTCTACTGCACTCCAGCCTGGCCAACAGAGTGAGACCCTGTCAAAAAGAGAGAGAGAGAGAGAGAGAGAGAGAAAGAAAGAAAAAAGAGAGAGAGAGGAGAGAGAGAGGAAGGAAGGAAGGAAGGAAGGAGAGAGAGAGAGAGAAAGAAAAGAAAGAAAGAAAGGAAGAAAGAAAGAAAGAAGAAAGAAAAAAGAAAGAAAAAAGAAAAAAGAAAGAAAGAGAGAAAGAAAGAAAGAAAGAAAGAAAGAAAGAAAGAAAGAAAGAAAGAAAGAAGGAAGGAAGGAAAATAAAGCATAAAGGGAAAAAAAGTGGTTTACACCAAACCATTTTTTTAAAGGAACACTTTTATTAATAGCACACTTTGAATGCCAATTTGTTGGGATTGTTTAACAAGATTTAAAATTTTATCTTCATCTAAATTGGCAGTGCCCACTCCCACATGCACTCCACCTCCTTATTTTTCTCATTTAAGCATTTTGAAAAATTCTAAAGGTTTGACTAAAACTGAAAATGCTTCTTATTTCATCCATCCCTAGTTACTGGCAACCGTAGGTGTTCTTTCTCTTTTTCTTTTTTTTTTTCTTCAGCTTCTTTATTTATATTTTACTCTTTGTAGTTTGTAAATTCCCTCTTGCCAGCTGCTTACAACATCAAAATGGCTTTATTGTTAGATTTCCAATTAGGGTTATGCAGTCTTTTGGCTCCATAAACACACACATAAGAAGAAATGTGTGCATGTGTACACACACATCTATATGCTCACACTCCCACTCCTAATAGGTTTGTTTTTTTGTTTTGTTTCGTTTTGTTTTGGGAAATAGATTTTACTCTGTTGCCCAGGCTGGAGTACAGTAGTGCAATCTGGGCTCACTGCAACCTCGGCCTCCCAGGCTCAAGCCATCCTCCCGTCTCAGTCTCCCAAGTAACTGGGACCACAGACTTGCAGCCACCATGCCTGGCTAATTTTTGTATTATTTGTAGAGACAGGGTTTTGCCATGTTTCACAGGCTGCTCTCGGCTCCTGCTAATAGGTTCTCGATGTCTGAGTCTCATTTCCCAAAATGTATTTAAAGATCTTAAATTCAAACAACAAAGTCACTAACCGTTTTTAAGGAGCAATTTTTACTGAGCATAATTACACCTTTCATGGGAAATTTTTGGAAAAGTTTGGTTGCAACAGTTAGTCATAAATATAATTCTACATTATAGTTGATTTTTATTTTATTTTTACTTATTTATATTTAGAGACAAGATCTCACTCTGTTGCCCAGGCTGGAATGCAGTGGCAAGATCATAGCTCACTGCAGCCTTGACCTCCTGGGCTCAAGTGATCCTCCTACCTCAGCCTCCTGAGTAATTGGGACTATAGGTATGTGCCACCACACCGAGCTATTTTTTTGTTTGTTTCATTTTTTTCTTCTTTCCTTTTTTTTTTTTTTTTTTTTTTTGTAGAGGTGGAGTCTGGATATGCTGCCCAGACTCTTGGCCTCAAATGTTTCTCCCACATTGCCCTCTCGAATCAATGGGATTACAGGTGTGAGTCACTATGCCCAGCAAATTTTTAATTTTTAATGCTATTCTGGTTATATTTTCTTAAATAATTTCTGCCTTTTAAAGATATGATATATGGCCAGGCACAGTGGCTCACGCCTATAATCCCAGCACTTTGGGAGGCAAAGGCAGGCAGATCACTTGAGGTCAGGAGTTCAAGACCAGCCTGGCCAACATGGCAAAACCCCATCTCTACTGAAAATACAAAAATTAGCCAGGCATGGTGGCACATGCCTGTAGTCCCAGCTATTCAGGAGGCTAAGGCAGGAGAATTGCCTGAACTCAGGAGGTGGAGGTGAGATCGTGCCACTGCACTCCAGCCTGGGTGACAGAGCGAGGCTTCATCTCAAAAAAAAAAAAAAAAGATATGACATATTTACAGATGAATTGCTGTTACATCTGAGATTTGACAATAATGTGGCCAGAATCATACCACAAGGATCAAATGGCAAATGCTTTACCTAAAAAGGCTTTGACTTGCTGTATCAGTTAAGATCCTTTCAACTGAGAGTGAACACAACACAGTAAACTTTAAACTGGGAAGAAGAAAAGAACTTATTGAATTGTATAACTGAATGAGGCAGGAGTTGAGCTAAATTTAGGTACCTGATTTTCCTCCATAGCTGCTTGGCTCTTCTGTCTGCTTATTGTCACCTAACGGGGACAAGCTGGCCGCCAGCAGCCCCAGGTCACATTTTCTCAGGTTCAAGTCCAGCTTCAGAAGGGAGCAGTCCTCTTTTCTGGTGACTTCTCCCAATATTCCTGAAATTCACTCTGATTGGCCTGTTTTAATCTAATGTCCGTTCCTGAGCCAATTAGTGTGGCTAGTGGAATGGGAAGCACTGGATTGGCTTAGCCTGGGACACGTGGAGAAGGGGAACTGATGATGTGTCTGTTTCTTTGCTGAGGACACCTGCGTTGCCAGCAAGCGAAAACTAATACAGCCTGCACCTGACATAGGGTTTTTCAGAAAGTCCCACTACGAGGTGAATTATGGGTGTCTGAAATATAACAGGATACATTAGATATATATGCAATAATTCACTAGGCATCTATGGTGTGGGGAATTCAGATCAAGCTCTGAAGTCAGACCAGCCTGGATTCAAATCCTAGCTCTACCACTTGACCCTGGGAAAACAGCTCTCTTGGAGCCTCAGTTTAATACCAGCACCTGTTTCCTCATCTGGGAAAGGGGGTTAATAATGGCACTCACGACCGGGTGTGGTGGCTCATGCCTGTAATCCCAGCACTTTGGGAGGCTGAGACGGGTGGATCACCTGAGGTCAGGGGTTCAAGGCCAGCCTGGCCAACATGGCGAAACCCCATCACTACTAAAGATACAAAAATTAGCCAGGCATGGTGGCGCATGCCTGTAATCCCAGCTACTCAGGAGGCTGAGGCACAAGAATCACTTGAACCTGGGAGGTGGAGGTTGCAGTGAGTGGGGATCGCACCATGGCACTCCAGCCTAGGTGACAGAGTGAGACTCCAGCTCAAAAAACAAAAAAACAAACAAATAATGGCACTCACCTCCTACAGTTACTGTGAGGTTTCAATAAGGTAATACATGATGCCAGGCGAAGTGGTTCATACCTATAATCCCAACAACTCAGGAGGCAGAGACAGGAGAATTGCTTGAGCCCAGGAGTTTGAGACCAGCCTGGGCAACATAGCAAGACCCCCATCTCTAAAAATAAGGAATAATTTTTTTTTTTTTTGAGACAGAGTTTCACTCTTGTTGCCCAGCCTGGAGTGCAATGGTGCAATCTTGGCTCACTGCAACCTTCGCCTCCTGGGTCCAAGCCGTTCTCCTGCCTCAGCCTCCTGAGTAGCTGGGATTACGGATGCCTGCCACCATGCCCAGCTAATTTCTGTATTTTTAGTAGAGATGGGGTTTCAACATGTTGGCCAGGCTAGTCTTGAACTCCTGAACTCAGGTCATCCACCCGCCTCGGCCTCCCAAAGTGCTGGGATTACAGTCATGAGCCACCACACCTGGCTGGAATAAAATTTTTAAAAAGACAGTAAGTGGGAAGTCCCTGGTGTATAGTAACCCTCAGTAAGTGGCAGATATTGTTGTTTATGACTATTACCAGAAACAGGGCCATAACAGATCATTATGGCAATGATGATGCTAAACAGTGAAAAACTTAACATGATTCTGGCTTTGAAAGCAAAAAATAGAAACTAGGCTTAGGACAACCTGTTGAGACATTTCTGCCAGGGCTATTTTTATTCATCAAAATGTAATGTTGGAAAGAAACTCACATTTGTACGTGCCAGGTAGCAACATATTTAATCCGACTTCCAAGCAGTGGATATTTTCATTCTCACTTTTTTGGATGAGAAAACTGAGACTGAAAGATGAGGTGGAGATGGAGGATTGTAGCATTATCTTTGTGACAGCAGTGCTAACATACATCAGTATCATACCCTGAATGCTTGAAGATCTATAAGTAGCCAAGGAAGGAAGCAGATAGCACAGGGTAAACTGAAGAGAGAGGATGAATTATCTATTTACACAGTTGGCAGAATTAATGGAACCAACAAAGGTGACAAGGTACACAGGGCCTAGCTACCGTGAGAGCCGTGATCACCCCTAGGCAGACGGAAAAAGACTCAGAGTCCAGACCCAGACCGAGCTGTCACTATGGGAGAAGAGTATGAATGGGGACCAGTATGGCAGGATTTCCTAATTTTTTCAAGTGTAAATCCAATTTATTTATGTATCTATTTATTTATGAGGCAGGGTCTCACTCTGTTGCCCAGGCTGGAGTGTCGCCCAGGCTGGAGTATAGCCATGCAATCATAGCTCACTGCAGCCTTGACCTCCCAGGCTCAAGTGATCCTCCCACAACAGCCTCCCAAGTAGACGGGACTATAGGCATGCACCATTACACCTGGCTATATATATTATATATATATATTTTTTTTTTTTTTTTTTTGAGAAGGGGGTTGTCTCACTGTGTTGCTCAGGCTGGTCTCAAACTCCTGGGCTCAAATGATCCTCCTGCCTCAGCCTCCCAAAGTGCTGAGATTACAGGCATGAGCCACCATACCCGGCCAGGTTTTTTTAGATAAAATCTCCAAGTTTATACATGTTAACAATTGATTCCAAAGAATTTTAAACACGGTGGAGGCACCCTCCAAAATGAAACACATATCCAGACAGATGCAGACAGTTTATGGCCTCTGCTCTAGACTTTTAGGGCACCCTGTGCGTCCACTCCTTTTGCGGTTGGTAGATGTATTTACTTCTCTTGCTTGATTGCTTTTCTCTTTCTTCCTGAGTCCCTTGGATTCCTTTGGTCCTCTCCAGGGAGACAATGTGGGTTGTCAGTCATTCAAATCTGTCCAGTTGCTCTACAGAGTGAATGGATGGGTGGGCAGAGGAGGAAGGGGGCGCTTTGGAAATTATAAAATGGACAAGTGGGGAGTAAGAGGTCCTCACTAGGGTCTGACTTCAAGCTTGAGCATCTATAAGGTGTTACTCAAAGTGTGTTCTCTATATTTTTTTTAATTAATTTTGGAGACAGGGTCTTACTCTATTGTCCAGGCTGGAGTGCAGTGGAGCCATGATTGCTCACTACAATCCTGACTTCCTGGGCTCAAGCGATTCTCCCACCTCAGCCTCTCAAGTAACTGGGACTACAGGCAAGTACCACCATGCCTGGCTAATTTTTGTGGAGCTCAGGGTAGGTCTCAATGTGTTGCCCAGGCTGGTCTCAAATTCCAGGCATCAAACAATCCTCCCACCCTGGCCTCCCAGAACCCTGGGATTACAGGCATGAGCCACCATGCCTGGACAAAGCATGGTCTATAGACTGGTAGCATTGGCATCACCTGGGAGCTGGCTAGAAATTCAGATTCTCACAACCCACTCCATACTTACTGTATTAGTCCATTTTCACACTGCTATAAAGAACTCCCTGAGACTGGGTAATTTATAAGGATTTAATGGATTCACAGTTCCACATGGCTGAGGAGGCCTCAGGAAACTTACAATCATTGCAGAAGGCAAAGGGGAAGCAAGGCACATCTTACATGGCAGCAGGAGAGAAAGAGCGAGGAGGGAACTGCCACACAGTTTTAAACCATCAGATCTCATGAGAACTCACTCACTATGACAAGAACAGCATGGGGAAACCGCCCCCAAGATCCAGTCACCTCCCACGAGGTCCCTCCCCTGACACATGGGGATTGCAATTCCACATGAGATTTGGGTGGTGATACAAAGCCAAACCATATCACCCACTAATGCAGAAACTCTGGGAGTGGGGCCCTCAGGGAATCTGCATTTTAACAAGTCCTCCAGGTGATTCAGATTCAAAAACTTCAGTACTGAAGTTTGAGGTTAGATGACTCCTGAGTGTTTTATGCTAAAATAATTTATGTCTCTTTCCCCGCCTTCAGTTACATTTGTCCCAGTCTGTTATCCTGGCCAGACCCCAGAAACAAGAGGAGGCTAAGAACCCCTGGCATCACACTGAGAACCTTGAATAGCTCTACCCACTGCCTTTGGGATATATAATCTTATAATTCCATAATGAGCAAATAGCCCAATTAAAATGTGGGCAAAATATTCAAACAGACAGTTCACAAGAGAAGATATATAAGTGCCCAATGAGCACATGAAAAAGTGTGCAACATTTTTTCTTTTTTTTTTAGACAGCGTCTCACCTTGTCACCCAGGCTGGAATGCAGTGGTATGATACAACTCACTGCAGCCTTGACTTCCCAGGCTCAAGCAATCCTCCTGCCCGCCTCCCAAGTAACTGGAACCACAGGTGTGCACCACCACACCCAGCTGAATTTCTTTTTAATTTTTTGTAGAGACAGGATTTTGCCATGTTTCCCAGGCTGGTCTCCAACTGCTGAGCTCAAGCAATCTGCCCGCCTCAGTCTCCCAAAGTGCTGGGATTATAGGCGTGAGCCACTGCACCCGGTTGTATGCAACATCCTTAATCAGTACAGAGATGCAAATTAAAACCTCAATGAGACCGGGCTGTCTCTGCTGAAAATACAAAAATTAGCCAGGCCTGGTGGAGCGCGCCTGTAATCTCAGCTGCTTGGGAGGCTGAGCAGAAGAATTACTTGAACCCAGGAGGCGGAGGTTGCAGTGAGCCAAGATCACGCCACTGCACTCCAGCCTGGGAGACAGAGTGAGACTCCATTGCAAAAACAGAAAACAAAACAAAACCAAACAAAACAAAACCAAACAAAACAAAACCTCAATACCTCAATGAGATACCACTACGCACATACCAGAATAGCTAAAATTAATAAGACTGACAATATCGGGTGTTTGTGATATGGAGCAATGGAATTTTCATCCATTGCTGGTGAGAATGCAAAATGGACCAGCTTTGGAAAAGAGTTTGACAATTTCTTATAGTGCTCAGCATACACTAAACATGTGACCTAGAAATTTCACTTCTAGACATTTACCCAAGAGACAGGAAAACATATACCCATACAAAGACTTGCACACAGCAGCTTCATTCATAATAGCCAAAAACTGTAAGTGACCCAAATGTCCACCAATATGTGCATAGATAAACAAATTATGGTTGATCCATACACTGGAATACTATTTTGCAATTAAAAAGGAATGAACTAAAACACAAAAATAACACAAATGAATCTCAAAAACACTATGCTGAGCAAAAGAAGCCAGACACAAAAGATTACATATTGTTTGAATCCACATATATGAAACTCTAGGAATTTCTTTTTTTTTTTTTTTGAGACAGTCTCTGTCTGTCACCCAGGCTGGAGTTCAGTGGCACAGTCTCGGCTAACTGCAACCTCCACCTCCCAGGTTCAAGCGATTCTCCTGCCTCAGCCTCTGGAATAGCTGGGATTATAGGTGCCTGCCAGCATACCCGGCGAATTTTTGTATTTTTAGTAGAGACAGGGTTTTGCCATGTTGGCCAGGCTGGTCTTGAACTCCTGACCTCAAGTGATCCACCGGCCTCAACTTCCCAAAGTGCTGGTATTATAGGCGTGAGCCACCGCGCCCAGCCTGAAACTCTAGAAATCTATAGTGATAGAAGGCAGTTCAGTGGTTGTCTGCGGTTGAGGACATAGTGATTGATGGCAATGAGGAAAGTTTCTGGGGTGACAGAAATGTTCTGTATCTTCATTGGGGTGGTAGTTACACAGGTGTATACATCTGTCAAAATTCATCAAACTGTCAACCTAAATTGGGTGCATTGTTGCATGTAAGTCACAGCTCCATAAAGTTTATTGTTTATAGAGTTATTGCATATAAATTACACTTTGATAAGGGTATTTTTAAGTGTTCATTTTGGCCCAGCTGTGCCCAGGCCAGGGAAAATTGCTAATAGCAAAAGGGACAGTCTGTTTTGTGAGCTCTGAGCCTGTGCTCTCACAGATGTTCTCGCTTCAGCTCAGAGGCAGTTCGGCAGCGTGGAGGTTTTTCCCACATCAAATAACTAACTTCAAATGCCCAATAATTGCGAAGTGAGTGTCTTTGGCTCAGTGCAATTACCAAGCACTCCTCACTCTGATCTGACCCTTGAGCCAGCACAATGAACACCAGGCTACAGATTCTGCAAGGAGCGGGAGGAGTCACCCTCGGGGCTGTCTGGGGATTCTCACCAGCCAAGTGCAAGCTCCTAATTGGAGTCAGGTTCATCAGGGTTACGTTCTGTGGTTCCTGAGCCTTTTGGGAGGGAAAAAATCCACATGCGTGGGGAGGCACTGACATGACAGCAAGCCAGATTGGTTTCTGACCATGGCAGCAGAGCTGTCATATCACACAACTCTAGGGGGCGCCACTCATGAAGAATGCTATGTGAATGAGCCCTGGAACTGGACAAAGTGACAGCCCCAAACCAGGCACCTCTGTGAGGCGGGCTCTGGGAATATAGTAGTGAACAAGACAGATATTGTCATCCTCAAAGAGGTTTACAATCTGGGGAGGAATGGAAGCATTGAACGAATACATAGACAAATAAATATATCATTACGAATGATGATACACGCTAGGGAGAAAAGGAACAGGGAGCTGGTAGAGGGGATCACATAGGGTACTGAGTTTGGGCTGAGGAAGGCAGGGAGGCCCTTTGGGGGAAATGGCCCATGCAATGAAACCAGAAAAGAGCAACAAAGAGAGCCTTCCAGAAAGACAGACGAATCCAGAGAAAGGCCCTGAGGCCACAGAATCTCAACGTATCTGAGGAGGTGAAAGCCCAGTGCAACTGGAGTGTTGAAGGAGGCAGCAGCCAGGAACCAGGTCATACCCGACTCGTAGACCATGATAAGAAGGTTGGATATCATCTCGAATGCAATGGTGAGTGTCCTCATTTGGGTTCCCCCAGACACTGACCCCGAGTCAAAGATGTTACTGCAAGTAGTTTATTTGGGAGGTGATTTCAGGAGGCACTAGAGAGGAAGGGAAAGGAAGGAAGCAGATGCAGGATGCGTTATTTAGCAGCTTACCACTGGGACAACTGGGACTCAAATCCAGCAAGGAGTCTTGGGGGACCTGTAGAGCACTACTCAATGGAATTCCAACCAAGGGATGAGAGATCTGGGATATTTATCCATCAACTCCCATCAGTCATTGGTTGAGGAATACTGGGGGGGACTGGGGGTAGAGTAGTGTTTACTCCTGGCACTTCTAACCTGCCCTTTAAATAGCCAGATAAAGCCCCCAGACTAAGAGTCAAAGGGGCTGCTGTTGGAAGCCATGGGGTCTGCATGCCCAGAAATAATGTGTGCCCAGGACCTGTGAGCAAGGCATCCACAACATCTGCAACTGGGAGCCGCTAAAGGATTTTAAGCAGAGTGATTTTCTATTTCTTTTTGACACAGGATCTAGCTCTGACACCCAGGCTGAACTGCAGTGGTTCAACCTCGGCTCACTTCAGCCTCAGATGATTCTCCCACCTCAGCCTCCTGAGTAGTTGGGACTATAGGCATGCACCACCACACCTGACTAACTTTTGTATTTTTTGTAGAGACAGGGTTTTGCCATGTTGCCCTGGCTGGTCTTGAATTCCTGACCTCAAGCAATCTTCCTGCCTCAGCCTCCCAAAGTGCTGGGATTACAGGCATGAGCCACCACGCCTGGCCACGTAGAGTGATTTTTCTGGAGAACAGACTGTAGGCAACAGAAATGGGAGCAGAAATCTAGCTCGGAGCCTGCTGCAGTGGTTCAGGCAGGAGATGGTGGTCGCTTCACCCAGGATGGTGGCAGTAGGGATAGGGAGAAGTGGGAAGGTACAGCAGGGCCTGGTGATGGATCAGATGTAGGGATGAGGGAGAGAAAGCTGTCAAGGATAACTCTTAAATTTCTGGTTTTAGTGACTAGGTGAATGAAAATGCTATTCTCTGAGAGTGGAAAGATTAGAGAAGAGGATGCTGGTATTATTGTGAAACTCAATTAAATTAAATGAGCTATTGCAGGAGATAGCACCTAGCCCAGGGCCCATCCTGTGCTAGGTACTCAGTGCGAGTCTGCACTTTTACATTTTTTTTTTTTTTTTTGAGATAGAGTCTCACTCTGTTGCCTAGGTTGCAGTGCAATGGCGCAATCTCGGCTCACTGCAACCTCCGCTTCCCAGGTTCAAGCGATTCTCCTGCCTCAGCCTCCCGAGTAGCTGGGATTACAGGCACCCGCCACCACACCAGGCTAATTTTTGTATTTTTATTAGAGATGGGGTTTCACCATGTTGGCCAGGCTGGTCTCGAACTCTTGACCTCAGGTGATCCACCCGCCTCAGCCTCCCAAATCCCTTGGTTGGGATTATAGGTGTGAGCCACCATGCCCAGCCAGTTCTGTGCTTTTCCTTCCATTCCCATACTCTGATGACAAGACCAAGGCCTGCCAGGGCCCATGACAAATGATGAGTTTGAAACATTTAATCTCTGGGAAATAACCCACAACAGAAGCAAACCTCACAGCTCAAATTGGCAGGTTACAACCCAATCCTGGAGGCAAATTCCAGAAATTACCTTTATTCTAGCTACACTAGGGCCAAAGCTTTTTCCTGCCTTGCAGTGATTGTGGCATAAACTGAGTCTTAGGGTAATGTGGTCATTTTCCACTGTTGGTGTGCTTTTAACTTAGTATTTTAAAACCGTTCAGAATTTTCCTCTTAAAGCATGGCTCCAAAATAAAAACAAGAGGGCAAATATTTAGGATTTGTTCCAGAAGAACTGAATCAGTCACTCATGTATTCAACAAACATTAGCATCCAATGTGTATTAGTCCGTTCTCACACTGGTATAAAGAACTATCTGAGTCTGGGTAATTTATGAGGAAAAGATGTTTAATTGACTCACAGTTCTGCAGGCTGTACCGGAAGCATGGCTGGGAGGCCTCAGGAAAGTTACAGTCAAGGCAGAAGGCAAAGGGGAAGCAAGCACGCCTTACCATGGCAGAGGAGGAGAGAGAGAGCGAAGGGGGAAATGCTACACGCTTTTAAACAACCACATCTTGTGAGAACTTGCTCCCCATCATAAAAACAGCAAGGGGGAAGTCCACCCCCCTTGATGCAGTCACCTCCCACCAGGTCACTCCACCAACACTAGGGATTCAACATGAGATTTGGGTGGAGACACAGAGCCAAACCATATCACCATGTTTTCAAAGCAACTGGTGGAAAGACAGAAGCCTTTTCAAGGAGCTAATTCATATGGACAGAGATGAGCTGGTTCACAAACAAGAAAGAAATTGACATGAGGGGTCAGACAAGAGGTGGTTATTTCCACAAGTGGCTTTACTGGGAATGGTGAGCCCTGAAATGGTGTGACTGACATAAAGGTGGAGACACACGCAGAATTCCCTGAAAAGGGAGTGCAGATCAGCACAATGACTTCAGAAAATTGTTCTGTCTACTAAAACTGAACATGCATGCACACTCCAACCCAGCAATTCCATTCCTAGGTATATTCTAAAGAAAAATGCTTCCATTTGCTCACTAGAAGACATGTGCTAAAAGGTTCCAGGTAGTATTCATAATAGCAAACAAAACAAAAACTAGAAACAACCAAAATGTTCAACAGTAAACAGGATGAAAAATTGTGGCATATTTACAAAATAGAATACTATACAGCAATGCAAATAAATGTTTTACAACTACATACAGCAACATGGATGAATCCCACAAATACAGTGTTGAGCAAAAGAAGTCAGACACAAAAGAGTACATACTGTATGATTCCATTTACATAGAGTGCAAAAATAGGCAAAATCAATATATGTTAATAGAAGTCAAAATAGTGGTTCCTCTTGTTGAAGGACAGTGACTAGAAGAGGACACATGGGGACTTGGGGGCTGGGGACTGTAACATTCTGTCTCTTGACCTGAATGCTGGTTACATTGGTATGTTCAGTTTGTGATAATTCATCAAACTACACACTTAGTGATCTATGTGTTTCTTTGTATGAATGTTTTACTTCAATATGAGTTAAAGGCAAGCACAGTAGCTCACACCTGTAATCCAAGCATTTTGGGAGGCTGAGTTGGGGGGATCACTAGAAACCCAGGAATTGGAGGCTGCAGTGAGCTATGATCACACCACTGCACTCCAGCCTGGGCAACAGAGGAAGACCCTGTCTTAAAATAATAATAATGATGAGGCCAAATGCAGTGGCTCACACCTGTAATCCCAGCACTTTGGGAGGCCAAGGTGAGCGGATCTCTTGAGCCCTGGAGTTTGAGACCAGCCTGGGCAACATGGTGAAACCCCCTCTCTACAAAAAATACAAAAGTTAGCCAGGCGTAGTGGCATGTGCCTGTAGTTCCAGCTACTCAAGAGACTGAGGCGGGTGGATCGCTTGAGCCCAGGAGATGGAGATTGCAATGAGCCATCATCATGCCACTGCACTCCAGCCTGGGTGACAGAGTAAGACCCTGTCTCATAAATAAATAAATATTTTTTTAATTGGAGAAAAAAATAATAATGAGTTAAAATTGGAGGAAAAATTTACCTGAGCACCTACTGGGTGCAAAGCCCCTTTATTTCACCCATCTGAGGCAGACAAACCCCAAAATTGGGGCTCACCCCAGGAGGGTTCTTGGCTTCACGTAGGAAAGAATTTAAGAGCAAGCCAACACAGTAAAGTGAAAGCAAAACAGAGTAGAAGAAAATGGCCGCTGCATAGGCAGAGTAGCAGTCCTGGATTGCTGGCTAGCTACATTTATAGCTACTCCTTAACTATATGCTAAATAAGGGGTGGGTTATTCACAGATTTGCTAGAAAAGGGGTGGAGAGTTCCCAGAACCCAGGGTTCCTCCCCTTTTAAACCATGTAAAGTAACTTTTGGACATTGCCATGGCATTTGCAAACTGTCATGGCACTGGTGGAAATGTCTTTTAGCATGCAAAATGCATTATAATTAGTGTATAATGAGCAATGAGGACAACTAGAAGCCATTTTCGTTGCTATCTTGATTTTAGCTGGTTTCAACCAGTCCCTTTACTGCATCCTATTTTGACCAGATTCTGTTTTGATCAGCGGGGTTGTGACCAGGGTCATGGCCAGTGCTTAGAAAACAGGTCTTGCTGATTTCCTACCTCACATCTTCCTTTCCAATGTGGGCAAATAGATTACTCCAACTTCTACCTCCACAGTCAATGATTATCCTTGTATGTGCCTCATGGGGGCCTGTGAGTGTGTCTTTAAGGTATGCAGTTGGCCAAGCACAGTGGTTCATGCCTGTAATCCCAGCACTTTAGGAGGCCAAGGCGGGTGGATCACTTGAGCCCAGGAGTTCGAGACCGGCTTGGGCACCATAGTGAGGCCCTGTCTCTATAAAAATAAATAAATGATAAACCTGGAGTTGATGGACCTTTGTGGGGAGGACTAAGTAGTCCTTGAATGGGCATCAGGGGAGCCATGAATCTCCTACAATTATATGCAAAATGTTGCATGTCTAGGAATTTTCCTGGGGAGATAGTCTAAGGCATTCTCAGATTCTCAAAAAGATCACCGACCCAGGAGGAGCTCAGAATCTCCAGATTCTCCCAATCTTGCTTAAAGCACATACATGTTTTCAGAGCTCATACCTGTAGTTGTTGGGATCAATTACACCTTGCTTGATTCTTTTCACATTATTCCTCTGAACTAGCAAATGTACAGCCATGTCCTACCTGTCATTTGTCAAAGCTTCGAAGAATCACGCCATGTCCCACTCTGATCACTTCACATAACCCTAACACCAGGCATATGTCTGTTTCTTGTTTCTTACCATCCCATAAAGCCTGCTATGAATACCTTTGTACAGATTGGTTTTCCCTCCTAAAGAGTTTTCTTGAAGTGTTTTCAAAAATTGCAGGAAGTGGGTCAAATGTACCAACAGTTTAATACTCCTGGGTTGCTACCAACCACATTTTCAATGCAGCAAGAATGGCTATTAAAAATCACCTAAAGGATATGACAAAAGGGATTGTTTTAGCTCTAATTCATCATTGATCTTCCTCTTGTCCCCCCATAATAATAGTCATCTATCCTTGATAAAATAGGAGAGTGAAACATAGTTATTACAATAATGGAAAAATACCTATTTTCTGGCAAGATATTTCATGCTTCTGTGCCCTTGGAAGTTCCTCTGAAATTTTTTCCTATCATTCACCATAACCAACATGTCAGTTTCAGGGTAAACAGGCAAGATGGGTGGTGGGGGAAGGCGGGGAAGGGTGGACTGTTGCCACGGCAACAAAGGATTTCAGTGATGAGTATCCATGGTGATTGTTGCTACATTCTGAGTGGCTTTAAATGCTTTATTTAAAATACATAACAATCGTGCAGCTGCTGAGGATGTTATGAGGGGAAGAGAGAAAGGGGCTATTTGCTCTTTTATGGATACGTGCTTGGCATGGTTTGAAGGATGAAAGATAAGGTGGTTTAAGGACAGACATAATCCCTTTGTGATGCTATTTAGCAGTTAGCAAAGACTGCTATCCCTCTAACACAGAATGCTCTCACACCTCTGGGTACCACTTGTGCCTCGATCGCCTACTCAACAGGGTAAGACCTAAGATAAACTCGGGCAGAAACCAGCCCCCACTCTGCTCCTTCCCAGGGCACCCTGCCCCCACCATTGCCTTGGAATAGAAGCACATGGGGCTCTGAGCAGAACTGAGAGCTCCCAAGGGGCAAACCTCATTGGATGCTTAAAATAACCAGGGATGCCAGGGACTGCAACACAGGGGCTATTTATCCTTTTCCATCCCCAAATTCACATGGAATATGAGTTGGAGAAATGGGGCTAGGCCCAGGTCTTCTAATTCCTAATCCAGGGTTCACTTGTTGTCCTTTTATTTTAGAATAAAGTTTGGCGATGAACAGTAGAGACCCAACATAACAGGAACTTTAACAAGATGGAAGTTTCTCTTTTACAAAAAAAAAAAAAAAAAAAGCAGAGGCTCAGGGACCAGACTCCTTCTGTCTTGTTGTTCCGCTATATGAAGACTCCATTCTCAGGATCACTTCATAACTGAATATGGCTGCCTGATTCCAACCATCACATCCAAATTCCAGGATACTGGAAAGAGGAAGAGATGAAGAGATAAAAGCAAAGGGCCCAAACAGCCATCTTTTTTTTTTTTTTTAAGAGACAAGGTCTCATTCTTGTTGCCCAGGCTGAAGTACAGTGGTGTGATCATAGCTCATGGTGGGCTCAACCTCAACTCCTGGGCTCAGGTGATCCTCCCACCTCAGCTTCCTGAGTAGCTAGGACTACAGGGTGTGCACCAGCGTGGCGGGCTATTTTTTTATTATTATTATTGTAGAGACAGAGGGTCTCACTGTTTTGCCCAGGCTGGTCTTGAACTCCTGGCCTCAAGCAATCCTCCTGCCTTGGCCTCCCAAAGTGCTGAGATTACAGGCATGAGCCACCGTGTCCAGCCCCCAAACAGCTATCTTTTAAAGAAGATTCCTTCTGGGCCAGGCATGGTGGCTTACACCTGTAATCCCAGCATTTTGGGAGGCCGAGGTGGGCAGATCACTTTAGCTCAGGAGTTCAAGACCAGCCTAAGCAAAAAAGTGAGACCTTGTCTCTACAAAAAATACAAAAAATTAGCCAATCATAGTGGTGCACACCTGTAGTCCCAGCTAATTGGGAAGCAGAGGTGGGAGGAGGGCTTGAACCTGGGAGGCAGACGTTGCAGTAAGCTGAGGTCATGCCACTGCACTTCAGCCTGGGTGACAGAGCCAGACCCTGTCTCAAAAAAAAAAAAAAAAAAAATCCTGGAAGCTGCTATCTGACACTTCCCCTTATATATCATCTACTACAGGGCCTTACCTAGCCACACTGGAAGCTGGGAAATATATTCTTTCTTCTAGGTGGCTGTCCTACGACTATTGAGCGATGGGAGAACCAGTACTGGGGGCAGTCAGCAGTCTCAGCCATATCCTCTTAAGTGAAGACGAGAACCAACCTAGCCTCCCTCCCTTCATCCTCTCCTCCTCTCTTCCCCACTTCCTCCTCTTCCTTCTTGCGCACTCCACAATCTCCAACCTGTAGGGCACCACACAAACATCCACTGAGAAGGTGGCTCGCTTTATCCCCATGCAATGACAATGACTCAAACAATACCGTGCCCTCAAGCTGCCCTCTTGAGTGAGTCTTTAGAGTTGTCCACCCATGGAAGGTCAAGTTCTTTTCAATGACAAGTCTAGAGTAGACATTCATTCTCATCAGGCTGTGAGCCCCAAAACTGTAGGGACAGTGTCCTGTGAGAGTCTTATAAGCATGGGGAGGGAGGGAAGAAAAGAAGGAGAAAATGCTATCAAGCAAAATAGACTTGTTGCCTGATGGGCTAGAAAACCAATACCATGACACTGGGATTTTGAGAAAAGAAAAGCTTTATATTGAAAGTCAGCTCCAGATGAGACAGGAATCAACCTCAAATCTTGTCTCCAGGGCTGGCTTTAAGCAGTAATGTTATTAGAAAAGGTTTAGGAGGTGGATATTGGGATTAGCAGGTGATTGGTGGAAGGAAAGAGGAAGGCTGGAAAGTTTTGGGGCACGCACAGTCATCTCTTCCTGCTATCTCATGGGTCTCATGTGCAAATATGAAGGGAGTTAGTATGAAACACATGGTGGAAATTCAGGCTGTGACGTCAGCAAGCCCGTTCTGCGCAGACTCCAGTTGGCCCTACTGGGTCCAACCAAGTTCAGCCAGTTCCTTTATCTCCTAAGTGGAGGGAGTTTCCGTGTGTCAGCAAGTTGTTCCTTTTCTAATCTGCCATCCTGCAAACTCAAGATTTTCTGTTAGTCTTTTGTCTCTTTAACTCTTTGGAGCATGGTTTCAAAAGAAGTTCTCGCTGTCCAGATTCATCTAGAGCGAGGACTTGTGGTGGTTGTTGAGATTGCACGCAATCACCTTGGGAGAAATTCATTCCCTTTTCCATTCCCTTCCAATCCTTCTGCTTATGAGGAGGAGAAAGTCTCAGGTTGGTGCTACAGGGTTCTGAAACCTCTCCTGCCTTTGCTAATGTCTCCTTTTAACAAAGAGGGAGCAGGTCTCGGCCCAGGGCTTTAAGCATCCCTAGATATCCCTCGGTATTAAACCTGGTGTCGGAGCAGATGCTAACTTTTGTTTCACAAGAGTTGACGTTTTATCAAGCAAGTTGCCTTACTAGAGCTTAATAACGTTGTTTTGTTTGCCTCATATTTATTGTCATTTACTTTCTATTTGGCAAGCAATAGGATTTTCCATTTATATTTGTGACATTTTTCCTTTTAAATAAATGTCTTTACATTTTTAAAAGTGAATTGATTTAAGGGGAAAAAAGAGTTCACTAAACAATAGTATGGGTGGTACAGGGATATGTTAAAAGCGTAACTGAAATATGAGATACACAGGTTTGATGGAAAATACAATTTATTTATTTATTTTTGTCTGTTTTTATATCTTTAGAGACAAGGTCTTGCTCTGTCACCCAGGCTGGAGTGCAGTGGTGCCATCGTAGCTCACTGTCGCCTTGAACTCCTGAGCTCAAGCTATCTTCCTGCCTCAGCCACCTGAGTAGCTGGGACTACAGGTGCATGCCACCACACCCAGCTAATTTATTTTTATTTTTATTTTTGTAGAGGTGGGGTCTCACTTTGCTTCCCAGGCTGGTCTCAAACTCCTAGTTTCAAGCAATCCTCCCGTCTTGGCCTCCTAAAGTGTTGGTATTACAGGTGTGAGCCACCATACCCAGCTGAAAATACCATTTATAAGGCTAGAAAAGGCCTGTATTCTAATCTGAGTTCTTCCACTGCCCTACTGTGTGACCTCAGAAAAGCCTCTTCATCTCTCTGAGCTTCTATGTCTTTACCTGTAAAAATGAAGAAAACTGGGCTCAGTGGTTGCTAAGATCCCTGCTGTAAATGACAGGAATTCTGGGGATCTATAGAACCCCAAAGTAATTCCTGGGGACCCCAGACATCACTCCTGTAGCGACTTCAGCTTCAACTGTGGCTTGCCTTAGTGAACATTTGTGACTACCTAGAACAGCAAACACTTAGCTTAGCGATGGAGATTAATCTGTATTCAGAGTCAGGCGCAGTGGTTCATGCCTATAATCACACCACTTTGGGAGGCCAAGGCAGGAGGATCGCTTCAGCCCAGGAGTTCAAGACCAGCCTGGGAAACATGACAGAACCCCACCATCTCTACCAAAAAAAAAACACAAAAATTAGCCAGGTGTGGTGGCACATGCCTGTAGTCCCAGCTACTTGGGAGGCTGAGGTGGGAAGATTGCTTGAGCCTGGGAGGCAGAGGTTGCAGTGAGCTGAGATTGTGCCACTGCACTCTAGCCTGGACGACAGAGCAAGATTCTGTCTCGAAAAAGAAAAAAAATCTGTATTCAGAACATTACTGATAAATAAAGATTTTTAAAGCCAGTGGAGAGCCATCTCCCAAACATGCAAAATTAGACTTAATTATTTTTAAAACAATACATCTCTTAATTTGCAAATGAGCAGAACCGAATGCTAAGTAAGGTCTTATTTTGGATGCTAACTACAGTAGCTTTTTCAAATGGAGATTTTCATACTCTCTCTTCACACCTCCCCCCAAGTGTTTATTAATAACTCTGCCTTTTCCTTGGTTTTAAATTATCTCTAAATATTAAACCTTGTGTGCAGAGCAGATGCTAACTTTTGTTGTACATGAGTTGCTTATCTTATTATAACCCAAAACAAAGACTCATTTCCCATTTTCTCAAAAAATGCTGGGAGATGGTCTATTTTGGAGCTCTGGACTTCCAGCCAGAGGGAGACAAAGACCCACTCTCTGTCCCTCAGACATGTCAGTACCTGAGTGCCCAGGCATCTCAAGAAATGCATGTTAAAACCACAATCAGATACCATTTTACAGCCATAAGTTAGAGAAAATGGAAACATGACCATAGCAAGTGTTGGCAAGGATGTGGAATTCTTATAGACAAGAAGTCGGTGTAGGAAGGTGGCAGTTTGTGTGGTGGACAGAATGATGGCTTCAGAGTCATTCATTCAACAAATATTTATTGAGCGCCTACTAGGTGCCAGGCGCTATTCTTGGTGCTGGGAATGCAGCAGAGAGTAAGACAGACAAAATGCCTTGCCATGGAGCTGATGTTCTCATGGATAAGCGTGAACCACACACAAAATAAGTAAGTCAAAGAGTATGTTAGATAATGAGAGGTGCTAGAGAGAAAAAGAAGGAAAGAAGGAGCAATTAGGGTACTAGGAAATAATTGCAAGTGTCAACAGGGCTGTCAGAGAAGGGTCAATGAGATGGCTCCTGGGTAGAGACTTTAAAAGGAAACAAGCCTATGTGGATATTTGAGGAAGAGTATTCCAGGCAGGGGGAACAACAGCCAGTGCAAAGACCCTGTGGTAAGAGCGTGTCTGGTCTGCTTAAGGAAGAGTCAGGGGGCCTGTATAACTCAACTACAGTGAGCAAGGAGATGAATTGCAGGACAGAGAGAGAACATCTGGGGCTTATAACCAGAGTAAGACTTTTGGCTTTTACCGTAGGGGAGTCACAGGAGAACTTTGAGTAGCATTCCTCAGGCTGCTGGTTTGAGAACAGACTATAAGGTGGAAGGGAGTGGGGAGGACATAATCAGGGAGACCCAGGAAGAGGCTATTGCAATAGTCCAGGTAAAAGGTGATGGTGCATGGACCAGGTGGGAGCAGCGGGCTCCCCAGCAGGCATGGGGAAGAGAAGGGAGGTACTAAGTATATTTTAAAAGTAGAATCAGTGACACGTAGACACCATGGAATACTATGCGGCCATTAAAAAGCATGAGTTCATGTCCTTTGCAGAGACATGGATGAAGCTGGAAATCATCATTCTCAGGAAACTAACACAAGAACAGAAAACCAAACATCGCATGTTCTCACTCATAAGTGGGAGCTGAACAATGAGAACACACGGACACAGGGAGGGGAACATCATACACTGGGGCCTGTCGGGGGTGGGGTCTAGGGGAGGGATACCATTAGGAGAAAAACCTAATGTAGATGACGGATTGATGTGTGCAGCAAACCACCATGGCTTGTGTATACCTATGTAACAAAACTGCACGTTCTACACATGTACCCCAGAACTTAAAGTATAATAAAATTAATTAATTAATTAATTAACTAAATAAAAGTAGAATCAATAGACTATACTGACTCCAAATAAAACTGAGTTCGAATCCCAGCTCATAGGCATATCACCTACCTTTGGTGAGCCTCAGTTTCCTCACCTGTAAAATGGGGATAATCATTCCCAACAGGGCTATGGATGAGAAGGCAAGTGAGCTGGTGCACAGTGAATCAAAGCTGCTATTAGTGGCAGTAGTAGTAGTTATTTATTTATTTATTTTAAGACAGGGTCTCGCTCTGTTGCCTAAGCTGGAGTGCAGTGGCGCGATCATAGCTCACTGCAATCTCCACCTCCTGGGCTCAGGTGATCCTCCCACCTCAGCCTCCCCAGTAGCTGGGACTATAGGCGCACACCACCACACCCAGCTAATTTTTGTATTTTTAGTAGAGATGGGGTTTCACCATTTTGTCCAGGCTTGTCTTGAACTCCTGACCTCAAGTGATTCTCCCACCTTGGCCTCCCAAATTGCTGGGATTACAGGCGTCAGCTAACTCGACTGGCTGCTATTATCATTTTTATCGTCTGCCTCAGCCAATGTCCCTCTCCCAGTGGCTCTGCAAACCACCCCACAACGACTTTCAGAGGCCACCAGGGGTCATGGAGCTATGTTCTAGTGTGGAAAGGGAAATGGGTCTGATTGGAGATGGACTCTAAGATGCTGATGTCACCAGCAACATGCAAACACGCATCACAGGCATGGGAGGGGACTGGCCTGCCTATGACCCATCCTCAGCCAGAGGCCAGGAGCAGTCACTGCCTGTCTTCCTTCCCACTTTCCAGCCTCAGCCTCTCTCTTCCTTGCCCATCTCCTCTCCTCCCTGCACTAACTGCAGCCTCTTGTTCTTTTTTTTTTTTAATAGACAGAGCCTAGCTCTGTTGCCCAGGCTGGAGTGCAGTGGCGCGATCTTGGCTCACTGCAACCTCCAGCTCCCAGATTCAAGCAATTCTCCTGCCTCGGCCTCCCAAAGTCCTGGGATTACAGGCATGAGCCACTGCGCCCGGCCAGCCTCTTGTTCTTGATGGAGAAGGTTCAAGCTGCATCTGACGGCCTTGAAGATGTAGGAAAAACAAAATAATTATGACCTGCCTTTCCTAGCGTCTTTCAGCAAGAGACCCAAAGTGCTTTCCAACGTTAATGAGGCTGCTGAGGTTCCCAGCTGCCAAGCAAGTGGAGCAGGTCACAAACAGAGCTGGGGACAGAGCTGTCAGGGTCTCTCTTCCTGCTGCCTTTGAGAGGCCTCCAGGAGGAATAGCAGCTAAATCTGAGAAATATCTGTCCAGTTCCAAAAGGAAAAATGAATCTATGCTTTGGGTCACTTCTTTCAATGCTAGTAAAATGCAACACAGAAAAGAGAAGCCAGAAAATCTTAAAATGTTGTGAAAGGAATCTTACATAATTAAACTGATTACCAGCAATCAGCTTATCCACTTCTGCCACAATCAAGCTGGAAATCAGCATCATGTCATTCAGGCGATCAACAAACACTCACTGTCATTTCTCATGTCACTCAGACATGCTCTTTCTTTCTTTCTTTCTTTTCTTTTTTTTTTTTTTTTGAGATAGAGTCTCACTCTGTCACCCAGGATGGAGTGTAGCTCACTGCAACTTCTGCCTCCCAGGTTCAAGCGATTATCTTGCCTCAACCTCCCGAGTAGCTGAGATTACAGGCATGTGCCAATACACCCGGCAAATTTTTGTATTTTTAGTAGAGATGGGGTTTCACCTTGTTGGCCAGGCTGGTCTCAAACTCCTGGACTCAAGTGATCCGCCCACCTCAGCCTCCCAAAGTGCTGGGATTATAGGGGTGAGCCACCGCACCCAGCCTAGACATGCTCTTTCTGACCTCTCTATTTAAAATAGCATCCCACTGCCCACCCTCCACCATCTCCACCCTTCTGTGTTCTCTTACCCTACTTTGTCTTCTTGTACTTATTACTATACCAAATTAGGATTGTTTATCTGTTTTCTCACTATTTCCTTCCTCACCTGAAAATAAACCTCATGTCTCCCTTATCTGCGGCTCTGCTCCGGCACCTAGCACAAGCGTCTCACGCATCGTAGGCCCTCAATACATATTTGTTGCATGAGTGAATGAGAAAGTGAATGAAGGAAGAAAGGAACAGCACTTTGAGGTAGGCGGGACTGATATATCTACGTCATTTAACAGCTGAAGAAACACGCTCAGCCACACTGAAGCCAATAGCCCAAGGAGGAGAAGGGAAAGGGACTAACAGGAATGCCTGCTGTGTGCCACGGACTGCGCCAGGTGTATTGCATAGGTTCTCTCATCTGAACCCGTTAACAACCCATGAAGAAGTCAGGGTTACCCATATATTATGGATGACTAGCAAAGTTCAGAAACTGCCTTGTGGTAGACAGAATAACACCCCCCCCACCCCCCACAAGATATCCACATCCTAATCCTTGGAACCTGTGAATATGTTACTTTACATGGTGCAAAGGGTAATTATGGTTGCAGATAGAATTAAGTTTGTTGGCTGGATGCAGTGACTTATACCTGTAATCTCAGCACTTTGGGAGGCCAAGGTGGGAGGATCACTTGAGCCCAGGAGTTTGAGACCAGCCTGGGCAACACAGAGAAACCCCGTCTCTACAAAACAACAACAAGAACAACAACAACAAACAAACAAAAAAATTAGCCAGGCTTGATTTTGCACACCTGTAGTCCCAGCTACTTGGGCGGCTGAGGCAAGAGCATCGCTTGAGCAAAGGAAATGGAGGCTGCCGTGAGCCATGATTGTACCACTGCACTCCAGCCTGGGCGACAGAGTGAAACAAAAGAACTTTTTAAAAATTAAACAGAATTAAGTTTGCTAACCTTAAAATAAAGAAATTATCCTGGATTATCTGGGTGGACTCAATGTAATCACAAGGGTCCTTTAAAGATTGAAGAGCACTTGGGAGGCTGAGATGGGAAGATCACTTGAGCCCAGGAGGTCGAGGCTGCAGTGAACCATGATCATGCCACTGCACTCCAGCCTGGGCAACAGAGTGAGACTGTGTCTCAAAATACACACACACACACACACACACACACACACACACACACACACATATATATATATATATATATATGAGGGAGGCAGAGTCAAAGGAATGCAACATGAGAAAGACTAAACCAGCTGTTACTGGCTTTGAAGGTTGAAGGGGCCATGAGCCAAAGAATGCAGGCATCCTCTAAGACAGGGGTCCCCAACCCCCAGGCCACCGGTTGGTACTGTCTGTGGCCTCTTAGGAACCAGGCCACACAGCAGGAGGCAAGCAGCAGGCAAGTGAGCAAAGCTTCATCTGTATTTATAGCCACTCCCCATCTCTCACATTACCACCTGAGCTCCGCCTCCTGTCAGATCAGCTGCGGCATTAGATTCTCATAGGAGCACGAACCCTATCGTGAACTGCTCATGCAAGGGATCTAGCTTGTGCACTCCTTATGAAAATCAAATGCCTGATGATCTGTCACTGTCTCCCATCACTCCCAGATGGGACCATCTACTTGCAGAAAAACAAGCTCAGGGCTCCCACTGATTCTACATTATGGTGAGTTGTATAATTATTTCATTATACATTACAATGTAATAATAATAGAAATAAAGTGCACAATAAATGTGATATACTTGAATCATCCTGAAACCATCCCCTACACCATCACCATCCCGCGGAAAAACTGTCTTCCATGAAACCAGTCCCTGGTGCCAAAAAGGTTGGGGACCACTGCTCTAAGAAGCTGAAGAAGGCAAGGAAACAGATTCTCCCCCTAAAGCCTCCAAAAAGTGGGCCGGGCGCAGTGGCTCGTGCCTGTAATCCTAGCACTTTGGGAGGACAAGGTGGGTGGATCACCTGAGGTCAGGTTTGAGACCAGCCTGACCAACATGGTGAAACCCTGTCTCTACTAAAAAATACAAAATTAGCCAGGCATGGTGGCACACACCTGTAATCCCAGCTACCTGGGATTACAGCTGAGGCAGGAGAATCCCTTGAACCTGGGAGGCAGAGGTTGCAGTGAACTGAGATCACACCACTGTACTCCAGCCTAGGCAACAGAGCGAGACTCTGTCTCAAAAAAAAAAAAAAAAAAAAAAAAAGACTCCAAAAAGCAATGCAGCTTTTTGACACCTTGATTTTTGCCTATTGCCTTTAGCCCATTGCAGTTCTGACTTTCAGAACTGTCAGATAATGAATCTGTGGTTTTTAAGCCCGAGTTTGTGGTCATTCATTACAGCAGCCATGGAAGACAAGCACACACTTCCCCATCACAGAGGAGTAAGTGATTGCGATTAGACCCACAGATCATTGACTGCTTTCCAAGGGCACATGCTCAGCTCTCAGAGGGACTATCCTGTCCCGAGCTGAGTGAGCAGCAGGGACATGACCCCTCCTGGCCACGACTGATTGCACCTGGGAGGGACAGCCAAACCAAAATAGGTCAAATAGGCCAGGCTCAGTAGCTCACGCCTGTAATCCCAGCACTTTGGGAGGCTGAGGCAGGCTGATCACTTGAGGTCAGGAGTTCAAAACCAACCTGGCCAACACAGGAAAACCTCGTCTCTAAAAATAAAAAAATAGCCAGGCGTGGTGGCATGCACCTGTAGTCGCAGCTACTAGGGAGGCTGAGGCAGGAGAATCACTTGAACCCAAAAGGCAGAGATTGCAGTGAGCCAAAATCACACCACTACACTCCAGCCTGGGTGACAGAACAAGACTCCATCTCAAAAAAAAACAAAAACAAAAAAAAAAACATCAAACAGCATCTCTCCTTCCTGGGGAATTTGGAATTGAGACAAAAGCCCCAAATGAGTTTCTGTTTAGAGCATCCTCGGGCCAAATCTGGCTTGTGAATGGGATTTACTGGACTCATACAGCATTTTAAAACTATTTTTGTTTGTTTTAACTAGTTGCCAATATGATTTAATCTTGAAATTTCATAATTTCAGATTCTGGATTGCCTACTTCTCTTCCAAGTTCAGAGCCCCTGCCACTAGGAGCCCACACTCCTGCATGGCAATAATTGGCCAGAGCTGAGTGGTTAAAAGGGGGTTTGTACTTTCCTCTTGGTCCCATGAACCACAACATCTCATTCGCTTCCCAAGACCCAGTATCCATGAACATCGTCCCTCAGGTTTAAGCTATGGTATGCCTTTCAGCAGGGAAATGTCTCTTATACCCACACGTGGCAGCTGTCTTCCCTTTGCCCCTCCACACCCCTCTCTGGCTTCCCCATCCTGCCCAAGGACTGCATGAATGGGCTCTCAGGATTTCAGTTGGGTTTGGCCAATGGGCAATGCCAGCAGGAGATCCAGGGCATGAAGAGTGTGCTGTCAGGTTATTTATTTGACTGGCTCCCAGTGGGGTTGCTGAGGACTGACTGCAACTCTCCAAGGAAGGCCACATCTGCTGTCCAGGCAGCCCTCTCCAACCACCCACGGCTTCTGGATTCCAGAACCACTCCCATCCCTATCCTTTTGGGCATAGGAATGGTGACAGCTCTTTCAGAACTAGCCCTGGGGTACTGGCCCTGTGGCTTCCCACAGCTGATCCATACCTTAGTAAACAGTCCCTGTGTTAACCCTGCCTCCTCGGGGCATCCTAATGAGGATTTGTCATCTGTTTCCTGACTGATATGCCATGTTCCTATCAAGAAAGGGAGACGGGTCAGCCACAGTGGCTCATGCCTCTAATCCCCTCACTTTGGGAGGCCAAGGCAGGAGGATCTTTTGAGCCCAGGAGTTCAAGACCAGCCTGGGCAACATGGTGGGACCCTGTCTCTACAAAAAATCTTAAAAATTAGCTGGGCATGGTGGTGCACATCTGTAGTTCCAGCTACTCAGGAGGCTGAGGTGGGAAGATCGCTTAAGCCCAGGAGGTCAAGGCTGCAGTGAGCTATGATCGTGCCACTGCATTCCAGACTGGATAACAGAGCGAGATCTTGTCTCTTAAAAGAAAAGAAAAGGGAACTGAGAAGGCCCTGTGAGTTTCCCTCCACTGTTGTTCCCATTGACATCACCTGCCTGACAAAGGTTCTAAGTTTGAGATCCCCATGTTGTATCTCTTTCGAGTCCTTGAGGAAAGCCCGTGAAGCCACTCTGCTGTTAGATGCATAGAAGAGTAGAGATAGAGAGGAGAGACGCCCTGATCCTCAGCAGCTTCTCAGTCCTGACTCCTGTTCCTCAAGAGGACTGGCCATACTTCCACCTTCCTGGGTCCGTGAGCCACCCCTATGGATACCACCACCACCACCACAGAGACTCCTTGGGCTCAAGCCAGTGTCAGAGTGAGTTTCTCTTTTTTTTTTTTTTGAGACGGAGTCTTGCTCTGTCACCCAGGCTAGAGTGCAGTGAGCAATCTTGGCTCACTGCAACCTCCGCCTCCTCAGTTCAAGCAATTCTCCCTGCCTCAGCCTCTCGAGTAGCTGAGATTGCAGGTGCCCATCAACATGCCCAGCTAATTTTTATATTTTTAGTAGAGATGGGGTTTCACCATGTTGGCCAGGCTGGTCTTGAACTCCTGACCTCAGGTGATCTGCCCGGCTTAGCCTCCCAAAGTGCTGGGATTACAGGAGTGAGCCACCGTGCCCGGCTGGGTTTTTCTTTCTTGCTACCAAAAGACCCCTAGCTGCAGAAAAGCCTAGATAAGACCTCAGGTGGGGTTGATATTTGTCTCCTCTCTACGCAGCTTCCATTTCCTTTTTGATTTGAGGAATTGCCCTGCCCCTTTTGCTACAGACGAGCAGGCTGTCAATTTTGGTGCCAGGCCCACCCTGCCCTGGGGACTGCTCTTTAAAGGGTCCTGCTTGGCCTCTGGCCATGTGGGTAAAGCGTTTGTGGGGTCCCAGGGATGCGCCCACCCTGAGTCCATGCCCCTCCTTCTAGAGCTCATCCAGGTACCCAGGGCTCCTGCTTCAGGGCCAGCCTGGGCCCCTTTCCCAGGTCGTCCTCCAAAGAGTGAACCATGCCACCACTGTGGGCATCTTAAGACCTGAGAAGTGGCCAAGGGACAGCCATTTGGGGAGTTAGAAAACAGAGCTTGAACACAGGGGCTGGGGGTCCACACCCCAGCCTCTCAGAGTGTAGGACAGAGCCAAGGGTTAGAAGAGAAGCAGAGTGGACCATAAACCAAGGCTGGCCCCTCCCAAGTCACCACATGCTGGTCGATAACTCTGAGGACTCCAAGATTCTAATTCAAACCTGGCCTTCCAGGTCCTTATTCACGTATATGTGCCAAGGTAGGATGACAGATCATACTTCATCTAATAGTTTATCTGGTTGCTTTATCACTTGTAGACAAGTGGTGTAAAGGCTTCCTTTTGTACTCTTGCTCTGAGTGCCACAAATGAGGGGGGTGCGGCTGCAAGGTACCTCCACCACCCCAGGGCAAGAAGCAGGCATGGAACCCAAGCTTGGCCAATTGGATGCCCCCTGCCTACAATCTACTTCCTAAACCTTTGGCTTAACCAAAAGTGAACAGGTTTCCGTTGCTTGCAACCAAAGAACACTAACAGGTCTGCTCAGCCCCAAAGCCCATTTTTCTTTCCATTAGAAAAGGAGGGGCTGGACGTGGTGGCTCACGCCTGTAATCCCAGCACTTTGGGAGGCTGAAGTGGGCTGATCACCTAAGGTCGGGAGTTCGAGACCAGCCTGACCAACATGGTGAAACCCCGTCTGTACTAAAAATACAAAATTAGCCGAGCGTGGTGGTGCATGCCTGTAATCCCAGCTACTCAGGAGGCTGAGGCAGGAGAACCGCTTGAACCCAGGAGGCAGAGTTTGCGATGAGCCGAGATCGTGCCATTGCTCTCCAGCCTGGGCAACAAGAGTGAAACTCCGTCTCAAAAAAAAAAATTTTTTTTAAAGCGGGGGTAAATACATACTAGGTCTGTATCCATTAAAGATAGAGGATACAGAGAGGGAGAAAGAGAGGATGGGAAGGCATCCTCAGGTATATCTCAGGAGGAGGTGTCCAGAGACTGAGTTGGTCCCACTCCTTCCTCCCTACCCTTAGACCTACTTCTTATCCCCATCCTCTACCCCTCTTTCCCCTACCCCCACTGACCCAGGGCAAATTTCGCATTAAGATCCACTGAGTCATGAGGCCAGGCATGGTGGGAGCTCATGCTCATAATCCCAACACTGTGGGAGGCCCTGTCTCTACAAAAGAATTTAAAAATCAGCCAGGCATGGTGGCACGCACCTGTAGTCCCAGCTACTTGGGAGGCCAAGCCAGGAGAATCTCTTAAGCCCAGGAGGTTGAGGTTGCAGTGAGCCAAGATGGCACCATTGCACTCCACCCTGAGCAACAGAGTGAGACCATGTCTCAAAAAAAAGATCCACTGCGTTGCATAAAAATGTTGCACATTCAGCTCCAGTCTCCACCCTCAAATGCATCAAACCAGACAAGACAAAAACATTTTTTTCACTAGAAATCATCAAAGCCTCCACACTTGATCCTCTGTCTTCTGTAAATATTTCTATCTCATCCCCTAAAAGTGATCTCACTGAATGAATGAATAATAATCTGAAGAGAGAACTGAGGGCTGATTTACATCATTTCAAAGAGAGCCTCTATTATGCAAAATTATTATTCAAATTATGCAAACATCATCCTCTCAACTGGATGAACTTGCTCCAGCTGGGAGCCGACCATTCTCTGCGGGGCAGCAGGAGGGAGGAAGAGAGATTGGGAGGGAGGAAGAGAGATTGGGAGGGAGGAAGAGAGATTATGAGACACTAGAGTGGGTGGAGGATACTGGAGGCTGGGAACGGCCCACGGAAGAGGTCGGTCTTTGTGCAGTAAGTTTGCTCCTGCGTCAATTTCTCACTTGAAATATGCAAAAATTTCAGTCGGGCTTGGTGGCTCATGCCTATAATCCAGCACTTTGGGAGGCTGAGGTGGGCAGATCACTTGAGGTCAGGAGTTCGAGGCCAGCCTGGCCAACATGGTGAAACTCCATCTCTACTAAAAATGCAAAAATTAGCCAAGCATGGTGGTGGGTGCCTGTAGTCCCAACTACTCAGGAGGCTGAGGCAGGAGAATTGCTTGAATCCGGGAAGCAGAGGTTGCAGTGAACTGAGATTGCGCCATTGCACTCCAGCCTGGGCAACAGAGAGAGACTCTGTCTCATAAAGAAAGAGAGAGAGAGAGAGAGAGAGAGAGAGAGAGAGAAGGAAGGAAGGAAGAAAGGAAGGAAGGGAGGGAGGGAGGGGGGAGGGAGGGAGGGAGGGGGAGGGGAAGGGAAGGGAAGGAAGGAAAGAAAGAAGGAAAGGAAGGAAGGAAGAAAAAAGAAAGAAAGAAAGAAAGAGAAAGAAAATATGCAAAAATCTTAGTCATTCCCCTTAAATTACAGTAATTAAATCCTTCAGATGTTGTGGCTGTAGATCAAGAATACTTGTAACAGCAGCTCCAAATATTCCAAAAAGATTGGGAAGAATGGGATTCCTTCCGAGCAGAAGGTCTTATAGATGTGAGACAACCTGGAAAAAAAGTTCAGTTTTCAGGGTAAATGAGAGAAATGACAGACGTTTTGCACAACAGAGACCAGCGTCTGTTATTTTCAGTGTGGATGTTAATACTGCTAATAATAACCTCATTCATTTGCCAGAGTTTTTTCCTTTCTTTTTTTTTTTTTTTTAAGAAAATTGTATTGTGACTTTTACCTGTTTAAAGGCTTTTAGCGGCTTCCCGTTCTACCTAAAGTACAATCAAAGCCCTCATGCTGAGGCCTAAGAGCCGCCACCCCTGTACCCCTCGCATGATGGGGCTTCTTTCTACTTCTCCAGCTGTTATCAGAAAGCGGTCCCAATCCAGGCCCCAAGAGAGGGTTCTTGGATCTCACGCAAGAAAGAATTCGGGGTGAGTCCATAGAGTAAAGTGAAAGTAAGTTTATTAAGAAAGTGAAGGAATAGGCCGGGCGCGGTGGCTCACGCCTGTAATCCCAGCACTTTGGGAGGCCGAGGTGGGAGGATCACGAGGTCAGGAGATCAAGACCACAGTGAAACCCCGTCTCTACTAAAAATACAAAAAACTTGCTGGGCACGGTGGCGGGCGTTAGTCCCAGCTACTCAGGAGGCTGAGGCAGGAGAATGGCGTGAACCCAGGAGGCGGAGCTTGCAGTGAGCTGAGATGGCGCCACTGCACCCCAGCCTGGGCGACAGAGAGAGACTCTGTCTCAAAAAAAAAAGGAAGTGAAGGAATAAAGAATGGCTATTCCATGGGCAGAGCAGCAGCATGGACTGCTCAGCTGGGTATACTTATAGTTATTTCGTGATTACATGCTAAACAAGAGGTGTATTATTCATGAGTTTTCTGGGAACAGGGTGGGCAATTCCTGGATCGGTGGGTTCCTTCCCCTTTTAGACCATATAGGGTAACTTCCTGACGTTGCCATGGCATTTGTGAACTGTCATGACGCTCGTGGGAGTGTCTCTTCGCATGCTAATGTATTCTAATTAGCGTGTAATGAGCAGCGAGGACAATCCGAGGTCACTTTCATCGCCTTCTTGGTTTTGGTGGGTTTTAGCTGACTTCTTTATGGAAAACTGTTCTATCAACAAGGTCTTTGTGACCTGCATCTTGTGCCAACCACCTATCTCATCCTGTCACTAAGAATGCCTAACCTCCAGGGAATGCAGCCCAGCAGGTCTCAGCCTCATTTTACCCAGCCCCTATTCAAGATGGAGTCTCTCTGGTTCCAACGCCTCTGACACAGCCTTTTCCCAGGCGGCTAGCCTCCTCCCTCACCTCCTGCAGTCATACCTTTAACTCCTAGAATAGGCATGACTCCTTCCTATCCAGGACTGTTGCCTGTGCTGTTTTCTCTGCCAGGAAAGCTCTTCTCCCCATTCCTTAGTTGGCTGCTTCCTTCTCATGCTTCAGGTTTCTTTTTAAGTGTCCCCTCTTCAGAGAGACCCTGCCTGACCTCCTAAAATGGATGCCTCCAACCACCTTTCCCACCATCCACCCATGCTGCCATTTTTCCTTCACAAGATGCAATTATATACTTATTTGTGTCTTTATTTATTTTTTCATCTGTTTCCCCACCAGGTTATAAACTTCAACAAGGTAGAGATCGTGTCCATCTTGTTCACAGCCGAAGTTGCAGCACCTAGCACAGTGCCTGGCACATGGTGAGCAGGCAATTCACAAGGAATTAACGGGGTTGGGCATGGCAGTTCACGCCTGTAATCCCAGCACTTTGGGAGGCCCAGGCTGGTGGATCACTTCAGGTCAGGAGTTCGAGACTAGCCTGGCCAACATGGTGACACCCCATCTCTACTAAAATAAATATATATATATATATTTATTTATATGTATATGTATATAATTATATGTATATATACATATATTTATATATACATATATACATATATTTATATACATATATATATATATATACACACACACACACAAAACTTAGCCAGGCATGGTGGCACGTGCCTATAATCCTAAGTACTCGGGAGGCTGTGGCATGAGAATTGCTTGAACCCAGGAGGCAGAGGTTGCAGTGACCCGAGATCACACCACTGCACTCCAGCGTGGGCAACAGAGTGAGACTGTCTCAAAAAAAAAAAAAAAAAAAAAAAAAACTATGTATGGAACAGACACAGTGGCGCATGCCTGTAATCACAGCACTTCAGAAGGCCAAGGCGGGAAGATCTCTTGAGCCCAGGAGTTCAAGACCAGCCTGGCAAATGTGGCAAAACTCTTTCTGTACAAAAAATGCAAAAATTAGCTGGGTTTAGTGGTGCATGCCTATAGTCCCAGCTACTCGGGAGGCTGAGGTGGGAGCATTGCTTGAGCCCAAGAGGCGGAAGTTGCAGTAAGCCAAGACCTCACCACTGCACTCCAGCGGTGACAGAGTGAGACCCAGACTCGAAAAAAAAAAATTTACTATGTATGGTTTAGCCCTCTAGCTATCATACAAGCTCCTGGGGCTCAGAGAGTATGCCGAATAATAATAATGAGTAATTATCATAAATGGTGATAGTGATAACTGTCATTCATTGAGCATATACTGTATGGCAGGCACCACACTAAGCACTTTATTTACAAGGATTCACTCATCAAATCCCCACAACAATTCTCAAAGTCGGGCTCTGTTTCATCCCATTTTACAGTTGTGGAACTTGGCGCTCAGAGAGAGTCCTGATGTGCCAGAGACCACACAGACAAGCAGTCCAGGGTTGGGACTGGTGCCAGCCAGGTAGGCTCCTCTGAAAAGCCCAGTCTCTTTAGGAGCTGATTGCCCCCAAGCTGAGATTCAGCTGGACCATGAATGAACCGTGTGACCTTTGGCAAGTCTTGGCTTCTCAACTGTGAACCGGAGCTGATAATGCCCACTTGTGTCTCATGTGCCCTGAACAATGCCTGGCACTTAGTGAATAAATATGCTAATAATTAATGACACTATCTGAACACTTACTATGTGCCAGCTACCACGACTGCCTCATTGATCCCCGAAACAAGGCAGTGGTGTAGGTGTGGTTACCACCCACTATCCCAAGTGACATTCCCCAGCAAGCTGTCTTTGAGATCAAGTTTAGCATCCAGTTGACATATTAAGGAGGTCCCTTGGAATCAATCCCTGGGGAAGATTGAGGAAGGAAGCAGGAATGGGCATAGGGGGAAGTTGAGCTGTGATGCAGGGCCGACCACATCCTAGCCTACCCTACCGAGAGTCCTGGAGCTAAATTGGTGATGTCTCCAGTTGGGTCCAGATGGACAAGCCTTTATGCCCCATCTTGATCTATCTTGGGCTGTGAACTGTCCCAGGAAGTGGAATAACCTTGAACGAGGTGGCTCTGCAGCTGAAGGGATTGCTAAAGGGGTTAACAGCTGAGAGCCATCTGCTGTCAGCACCCCCAGCAGTTGGGGCAGCAAGTGCTCCATTGAAAGGGGTCTTGGAACTGAGGTTTTGATGACATTACCAAACTTGCCCAGAGCTCATACACAAAAACTGGCAGAGTCAGGAGCAGAACCCAGGACTGTCTGATGCCCATGTCTCCCGACTCCCTTTTTTCTTTTTTTTTTTTTTTAACCACTAGATGGCAAAAATCAGTGCATTCACCAAAGGAGTTCATAACTACTTGGATAGCGGGAATAAAAAAGAAAAAATTCAAAAATGTGTCAATCCAAGGTTGGACAGCCTGGGAGCCTGGATATATGATGTCACCCCTGATAAATAGGAAGGCTGGGCTGTGGGGCCAGAGCAAGGAGAGATGGCTGGGTCAGGTCTGGCCAAGCTGCCTTTAGCAGAGGTTGCTAGAATGAAAATTTGTATTCGGGGAAAGATAAAGAAATCATCATTTTTAAAAACATCTCTCTGAGATGGCAAAATGCCAGGGAGATAACCCAGGTGTTTTTTTTTTTGTTTTTTTTTTTTCCATTAACACTTGGGAAAGATGAAATGCAGCCGGAGAGATTAAAGAATCCCACTGCACTTTCTTCCAGAGACTGTGAGGACTCAGGTGTGTCCCCAGAGAGAGGTGGCAATTGCAGACAGTTTCACAGATGATGACAAAGTAAAACAAGCACACGATGAGGAAGCAAGCAGTCTGAGCTCCAGCCCCAGCTCTGCATTGACAAAGATGCTGTGTGTCCTTGAGCAAGCCACTTGCCCTCTCTGAGCCTCAGTGAGAATGAGTTACAGTGAATAGAGTGAGTGAGGTCTGCTTTACAGAAGCCAGGTATAATAGGGAGTGAAATCAAAAAGGTTTGTCTCCAGTAATTTCTGAGATTGTATTTTTTTTTTTTGTCACAGACACACTTTGCACATTAAGCCTGTAAGAAGAGCATTATTTCTACAAAGAAAAATGCTCATGTCTTGTCCCAGCACTTTGGGAGGCCAAGGTGGGCGGATCACGAGGTCAGGAGTTCGAGACCAGCCTGGCCAACATGGTGAAACCCCGTCTCTACTAAAAAAAAATACAAAAATTAGCTGGGCCTGGTGACGGGTGCCTGTAATCCCAGCTACTCGGGAGGCTGAGGCAGGAGAATCACTTGAAACCAGAAGGCAGAGGTTGCAGTGAGCCGAGATTGTGCCACTGCACTTCAGCCTGGGCGACAGAGCAAGACTCCATCTCAAAAAAAAAAAAAAAAAGAAAAAAGAAAAATGCTCATTTCTCATCGACTTTGATCACACAGCCCTCTCAATCCACCTTTTGTTCTTCCCCTTTCAAAGTGGCACTGGTTAAAAGAAATACTTCACTTTTCTCCTAACTCTACTGTAACAACAGGAATGTGCTGATACATGACAACAAGTGGCACTCAACCACCATGTCACAGACACAGGAAGTGGTAAGGACTCTGGCGAAAGGAATGCTTGGGCCCCCTGGAAAGGGGGTGGCTGCCATTTGTTGCCAGGGAAGAATGCAGACCTGTTATTGCCAGGCAGTCCTGTTTTTCAAGAGAAAGCTGAAATCTGGGCTGGGTGTGGTGACATCTGCCTGCAGTCCCAGGTACTTGGGAGGCTGAGACAGGAGAATTGCTTGAGCCCTAGAGGTCGAGGCTGAAGTGAGCTATGATCATGCCATTGCACTTCAGCCTATACAACAAAGTGAGACCCTGTCTCAGAAGGAGGGAAGGAGAGAAGGAAGGAAGGAAGGAAGGAAGGAAGGAAGGAAGGAAGGAAGGAAGGAAGGAAGGAAGGAAGGAAGGAGAGAGGAAGGGAAGAAAGGAATGAAGGAAGGAAGGAAGGAGGGAAAGAAGGAAGGAGAAAAAGAAAGCTGAAATCTAATTTAAATGAAAAAATCTCCTTTTCCTCTTCATGTTAACTAATTTGCATATTTTTAAAATCCCGTCTGGGAGGAGAAAATGGGAAGTCACTGTATGATAAACAGGATTTTCTTTTGGGGTGACGAAAATGTTTTGGAACTAAATAGGGGTTATGGTTGCACCACAATGTACGAAATGCCTTGAATGGTACTCGCTAAAACTCTTCATTTTATGTTATGTGAATTTCACCTCAATTTAAAAGAAACAAAAACAAAAAAAATCCTGTCTGGGATCAAATAAGATGCATCTAGGCAGATGTGGTGGCTCACACCTGTAATTCCAGCACCTTGGGAGGCCGAGGTAGGAGGATTGCTGGAGCCCAGAAGTTTGAGACCAGCCTGGGCAACATAAGGAGACCGCATCTCTACAAAAAAATTTAAAAAATTAGCCAGGCATGGTGGTGCGTATGTGTGGTCCCAGCAACTCCAGAGGCTGAGGTGGGAGAATTGCTTGAGCCTGGGGAATGGAGGCTGCAGTGAGCTATTATCATGCCACTACAGTCCAGCCTCGGCGACAGTGTAAGACTCTGTCTCAAAAAAAAAAAAAAAAAAAAGATGCAGCTATGGATCTATGGGCCAGAGGCCACCTGAGGGTTGTTGAATGGGATCCCTGGACCAAGCCTCCCAGCTCTGGTTCCATGAATGGAAGACAGCCTGGGCACTCCAGTACAGCATCCCATGGGAGACAGGTACATAAACAATGCCATTTGTGTTCCCTAAAAGTGGGGATATGAAGTGTGTTTCATTCCCCTGAAAGCCATGCCAGAGATAGCCAGGGCCACCCTCCCCGAGTTGTCCTGCCAATTCCAACCAGCGCTGGTGGCTTGGCCTCACCCAGCCTCTGCCTCCAGCACTTGGCATTTCTTGCGCCTGGATGCACCCGCACTGCAGAGCAGGGTGAAAAAGATCATCTCTAAACATAAGCTTTTTCCTGCAAACTGCTCTCCACAAGTCCTGTATCCTTGCCCATTCCTCCCTCCCACCCCATGTCTTCTGGTCTCTTAGGTTCTATTAAATCCTTTAAGATCCTCAAATCCTGGAAGATGCTCAACTCTTGCCGCACCATGCCCCAACCCACCACTGCACCCTCATGGCCTTTGTCTGGACTGTCACTTCTACCAGGACAGGCGTTTTGTCTGCTTTGTTTGCTGCTGAGCACCCCCGGGCCTACAATAATACCTAGCACAGAGAGATATTTACCTGGCTTGGTGAATATCTGCTGCTGCATGAATGCTGTTCCCTCTCTAAGACTCAGATCCAGGTCTTTGCCGGCCTGGTTCATGACAAGCCCTCTTGTCTTTCAGGCCTCAGGTCAACGTCACCTCCTCAGAGAGGCCTTCCTTGACCACCCTATCTAACCACTGCCTACCGCAGCCCCTCCACCTCTACCACCAAGTCATTCTCTAGCCTGGAGATCAGCAAGCCAAATCCAGCCCACTGCCTGCTTTTTTGTTTTGTTTTTGTTTTTGTTTTTGTTTTTTGAGACAGGGTCTTGCTCTGTTGCCCAGGCTGCAGTTCAGTGGCACCATCATAGCTCACTGCAGCCTCGGACTCTTGGGCTCAAGCAATCCTCCCACCTCAGCCTCCCAAGTAGCCAGGATTATAGGCACACACCACCATGTCAGCTAATTTTTTTTTTTCTTGGAGAGATGGGGTCTTGCTATGTGGCCCAAGTTGGTCTCAAACTCAAGATCACTGGGCTCAAGTAATTCCTCCTGCCTTAGCTTCCCAAAGTGCTGAGATTACACTGTACCAGTCTGTAAATAAAGTTTTATTTGAACACAGCCGTGCCCATCCATTTGCAGATCATTTGTGGCTGCTTTTGTGCTACAATGACAGAGTTGAACAGTTGTGACAAAGATCCTAGGGCTCATAAAACCAAAATATCTAACATCCAACCCTTTACAGAAAAAAAATATGCTGACTCTGCTCGGTCTGTTATCCTTCTTTATTTTCACAGCATTTCTCACTGTTTGAAATTGTCATTTGTTAACTTGCTACTTGGGCTCTCTTCTCCCACTACAAGGCAAATTTCATGAGGGTGGGTTTTTTGTTTTGTTTTGTTTTGTTTTTTGAGACCGAGTCTCGCTCTGTCACCCAGGCTGGAACGCAATGGCATAATCTCAGCTCACTGCAACCTCTGCCTGCCGGGTTCAAGTGATTTTCCAGCCTCAGCCTCCCGAGTAGCTGGGTTACAGGCACCTGCCTCCACACCTGGCTAATTTTTGTATTTTTAGTAGAGACGGGGTTTCGCCATGTTGGCCAGGCTGGTCACGAACTCCTGACCTCAGGTGATTCACCCGCCTCGGCCACCCAAGTGCTGGGATTATAGGTGTGAGACTCCATGCCCAGCTAGAGGGTGGGAATTTTTGTGTGCCTTGTTCACTTGCTGTTACTCTGGGCCCAGAACAGTGCCTGACACACAGTATACATGCTGGTTACCCTCATTCCTGTCCGCTCCCCACTCGGAGCCATCCTCCACCCTGCCTATGTCCTGGGCCAGGAGCTGACCCCCACGGACTTCTGCACTCTGGTTCCAGGCAGGTCCAGCCTATAGGGGGCAGGTCCAGCAACTAGTACTCACAGAGGCCAGGAAGGCAAGAGGAGGAGGAGGTCCAGGTACTCCCTTCTCGCCCCCTTCCCGATCTGGGCTGTTTTATGGCAAAAACTGCGACAATACACCTCCCTGACAACAGTGCCTGCCAGCAGCCCCTCCTCTAGAGCACTGCCTGTCACTGGGTTCCCCCAACACTCCCTTCACCCCACGGGTGGTAACTGCTCCTCACCAGGCTAGCCCCCAGCTCAGTGCCTCAGTATACTCTTCAGTTCCTTTGACCTCACCCACCTCATGGTAAACCGTCCTTTTATCAAATTCGCCTCAATTACGTAGTTAAATTGTGCCTTCTCTCTCCTGGTGGAACCCTCACTGACAGAGCAGATGCTCAATAAATATGGGTGAAAAATAAATGAATAAGTAAACAAATAAATGTGTGGCTACAGAGGAGAAATGGAGGATTAGGGAAGGATTAGGGTTAAGTGTTAGGGACAGATAAGGGTTACAGTTAAGAAAAAGGTTAGGGATAAGGGTTAAGTTTATGGCAAAGCTTAGGACGAGGGGACAGGTAAGATTAGGATTAGGATATAGATAAGGGTTAGGATAAAGGTTAAAGTTAGGGTAGGTGTTGACATGGGGTTAGGGTTAGGGTAGGATTAAGGTAAAAACTAGAATTTGGATCTGTTTACAAAGCAGAGGGAGACAGGATGACACAGAAGTCCAGGTGAAGGATGGACACAGTGGCTCACACCTGTAATCTCAACACTTTGGGAAGCCAAGGTAGGAGGATTGCTTGAGGCCAGGAGTTCGAGACCAGCTGGGCAACATAGTGAGATACCCCCACCCCCCATCTCTACAAACAAGTTTTTAAAAATGAGCCAGATGGCCGGGCGCAGTGACTCACACCTGTAATCCCAGCACTTTGGGAGGCCGAGGCAGGCGGATCTCGAGGTCAGGAGATCGAGACCATCCTGGTGAACATGGTGAGACCCCATCTCTACTAAAAATACAAAAAATTAGCCAGGCGTGGTGGCGGGCACCTGTAGTCCCAGCTACTTGGGAGGCTGAGGCAGGAGAATGGCGTGAACCCGGGAGGCGGAGCTTGCAGTGAGCCGAGATCGCACCACTGCACCACAGCCTGGACGACAGAGTGAGACTCCATCTCAAAAAATAAATAAATAAATAAATAAATAAATAAAAAATGAGCCAGATGTGGTGGTGCACGCCTGTAGTCCCAGCTACACAGGAGGCTGAGGCAGGAGGATGACTTGAACCCAGGAGTCCCAGGGCACAGTGAGCCAAGATTACACCCCTGCACTCCAGCCTGGGTGACAGAGCAAGAGCCTGTCTCTTGAAAAACAGGAAGAAAAAAAAATCCAGGTGAGCTGCCCACAGCTGTCCCTGATGCAGCATTAAGACTCCTCCATCCGTCTCTGCTGCCTGTAGAATGGGAGGTGCCTGTCCGATGCAAAAAGCCCATTAATTACGCTGGCTGGAGGTCAGCTCCCACACCCACACTCACTCCACAGACAGTACATTTTAACCACCCACCCAATGATGAGGTGCGGGCATCACGACTAAAGGACATCAGACCCCAGCCTCGAGCAAGGTCAGATGCAAGAAGTCCAGCTCTCCCCATCCCCTTAAAGGAAGGCACCGGGCTCTGTGGCTATGAAAGGAAGACATTTCTCCCTTTAGATAAGCGATTTTATCTCATTTTATTCTATCTTAGAGACAAGGTCTTGCTTTGTCACCCAGGCTGGAGTGCAGTGGCACGATCATAGCTCACTGCAGCCTCAAACTTCTGGTCTCAAGTGATCCTCCCACCACAGGTGTGAACCACCACACCCAGCCAAATAAGCAGTTTTTTTTAAACTACCCAGTACTGTTGTTTAGCATATACTCAGGTGCTTCCATCTGGCTTCCTCCTGTGTCCAGTGCAGGCATGTTTGTAATGTATAGAATTCTAGATACCTTGGGCAGGCACAGTGGCTCACGTCTGTAATCCCAGCACTTTGGGAGGCTGAGGCAGGTGGACCACTTGAAGTCAGGAGTTCAAGACCAGCCTGGCCAACATGGCAAAACCCCGTCTCTACTAAAAATACAAAAATTAGCCAGGTGTGGTGGCGCATGCCTGTAATCCCAGCTACACAGGAGGCTGAGGCAGGAGAATCACTTGAACCCCAGAGGCTGAGGTTGCAGTGAGCCAAGATCATGCCACTGCACTCCAGTCTGGGTGACAGAGAGAGACTCCATCTCAAAAAAATAAAAAATAGGCCAGGCACGGTGGCTCACGCCTGTAATCCTAGCACTTTACGAGGCCGAGGCGGGCAGATCACCTGAGGTCAGGAGTTCAAGACTAGCCTGGCCAACATGGTGAAATCCTGTCTCTACTTAAAATACAAAAAAATTAGCCAGGTGTGGTGGCTAATTTTTTAGCCACCACATACAAAAAAAAAAAAATACATAAAATACAAAAAAATTAGCCAGGTGTGGTGGCCTGTAATCCCAGCTACTCAGGAGACTGAGGCAGGAGAATCGCTTGAATCTGGGAGGCAGAAGTTGCAGTGAGCCGAGATTGCACCATTGCACTCCAGCCTGGAAAACAGAGTGAGACTCTGTGTCAAATTAATCAATTAATTAATTTAAAAAATAGAATTCTAGATACCAAGAGTGTCCAGTGTTTCCCATGTTTCAGTTGTTCAGAACTACAGTCACCATTTTCCCATTTCCCTATTACAGATACTTTATTTTCTATTAATTTTTTAATGGCCTCTCCCCCATCCTCTGTGTGTGTGTGTGCAAATACATTTTAAAAGGAAACATTATGTCATGCATTAGCAAAGTAGAATGGTTTACAGCACAGGCTCTGGAAGCAGATTTCCTGAGTCCAGACCCCAGCTCTGGTACTTACTAGCTGTGTGACCTTAGGCAAGTGCTTTCACCTCTCTGATTTGGTTTTCTCATCTATAAAACGGTAATAATGACAGTATCTTACCCCTTAAGAGGATTAAATGAGCTATACATGTAAAAACCTTTAGAAAAGTACCTGGAATTAGTAGCATAAGTGATGGTAGTGGTTGTTGTTGTTTTAATTGAAAAACCACTTAGCACTGGCTACATAGAAGTTAAGGGGAGGCTGGGTGCAGTGGCTCACGCCTGTAATCCCAACACTTTGGGAGGCCGAGAACGGTGGATGACCTGAGGTCAGGAGTTCAAGACCAGCCTGGCCAATATGATGAAACCCCATCTCTACTAAAAAATACAAAAATTAGCCGGGTGTGGTGCCGTGCACCTGTAGTCCCAGCTACTCAAGAGCCTGAGGTAGGAGAATCGCTTGAACTCAGGAGGCAGAGGTTGCAGTGAGCCGAGATCGTGCCACTGCACTGCAGCCTGGGCAACAGAGTGAGATTCCATCTCCAAAAACAAAACAAAAAAATTAGAAGTTAAGGGAAAAACATAAATACAAAATTAAAAGTGATGTTATTACATTTTCTTTGTTATAAAGAGAGATCAGCAAACATCTGGCGTGAAAGCCATTGTCGTAGTCAACTTCAACTGCTCTAGCAAACTACCATAGACTGAGTGGCTTAAACAACAGGTGTTTTCTTCTCACAGTTTTGGAGGCTGGGAAGTCCAAGATCATGATTGAGTTCTGGTGAGGACTCCCTTCCTGGCTTGTAGACAGCAGCCTTCTTGCTGTCTCCTCAGTGGCAAGAAATGAAGCTCTGGTGGTCTTATAAGGGCACTAATTCCATCATAAGGCCCCCTACCCTCATAACCCCATTAAACCTAATCACCTCCCAAAGGCCTCACCTCCTAATACTATGCCACTGGAGGGTTAAAGCTGAAAGCTATGAATTTTGGGGGGTGTGGGGTGCACAAACATTCAGTCTGTGGTAACGAACCCTATTAGCACAAAGCTGAAGTTTTCAGAAAGACCAAAAGAGAACTGAGAAAAGGGAGAACTTTCTAACCAGCTGATTCAAGGGTATTTAAAGTTCTATCCTTGCATGATCTACAGTCATCCTTAGTACCATACACTGCATTTCTCTGTGGTTTCCCCCTCCAATTACAGAGGCAAACCGAGGTCCAGAAGATAGAGAAAGCTTGACCAAAGGCACTATTTACACAGATGTCATTCTCAGTCTGCCTGGAGATTCTCTGCACATCAGGACTCCCAGAGCCTATCCTAGGAGGAAAGACTGGACACTTCAGTCTAGATCTCTGTTAAATGGGTTCATCTCCTTAGGTATCCAACATGAAAAGCCTCCCAAAAATGAAGGCTTTTATAAAATTTTATAAAAACTTGAGAAGCAGTCAGTGGCCATTAAACAAAATGATTTGCCAAAGACTAAAATATCTTCATCTTCTCCAAACTGCCTTTATGAAGAAAACAAAACAAAAACAAAACGGCCATAAAAGTGAAAGCTTTAGCAACCCTCCCAGGGGTGGTGAATGCTGGTATATTGCAATCCATGTTGTAGTTAGCCTCAGGGAACTTGATTTTTTTTTTTCTTTTTGCCATTAAAAATTCCTGCAATGGACTGTTGTGGGGTGGGGGGAGGGCGGAGGGATAGCATTGGGAGATATACCTAATGCAAGGTGACGAGTTAGTGGGTGCAGCGCACCAGCATGGCACATGTATACATATGTAACTAACCTGCACATTGTGCACATGTACCCTAAAACTTAAAGTATAATAATAATAATAATAATAATAATAATAATAATAATAAAACAATACATGGCTTATAGAAAATATTCAAATATTCAAAAATATTCAAAGTGTAAACATATGGGTGGAAAAATTAAACATTTATGTAACTACATAATGACATTTCTAAATTGCATTTGTGAATCTCTGAAATTCTCAGATATAGATGCTTGGGGAAAGGTCCTCATTAGCGACTGCTAGTTACTCCAGCTGACGTGATCAACTGGTTGATGACGCCCTTCCCAGGCATGAGAGTGCTGTGAGAAACTAATCAGTGGCAAGAGCTGTGTCTCTTAAATTTAAGCCTACTCCAGCCATGGCAAGAGTCCCAAAAATAACAGCTTCTAATTGCATTTCATAATCAACTGGGTTCTTTATATGGACAATACACACACAGAGAGACAGAGACAGAGAGAGAGAGAACAGCAACATAACCAAAAGGATAGGTTTACCATCAGTCCTATATTGGGATTCCTCATTCTTCTATCATTAATTAAGTGTCCTTGGGAAAGTTAAACTCATTAAGCCTCAACTTTTCCTTGTAAAATGGGAATAACATCTACTTTGAGGACTGGTAATTAGAAAAATAAATGAAACAATGTATGTAAATACAAAAAATTAAAAATAAATAAATAAATAAAAATTCCTGCAATGTTCTCCTTTGGTTTGTGAAATTAATTCAAGTTTGCATTCCTGGAGAAAAAGGAAATAAAAACACAGGATAATTTTTTTTAATTGTTTGTAGAGACAAGGTCTTGCTGTGTTTCCCAGGCTGGACTTGAAGTCCTGGCTTTAAGCAATCCTCCCACCTTGGCCTCCCAAAGTGCTAGGATTACAGGCATGGACACTTCACCTGACCTAAAATAAATACTTTTTTCAAGAGAGAGAGTCTCACTGTGTTGCCCAGGCTGGAGTGCAGCCTCTGCCTCTTGGGTTCAAGCAATTCTCCTGCCTCAGCCTCCGGACTAGCTGGGATTATAGGCACGTGCCACCATGCCCAGCTAATTTTTGTATTTTTAGTAGAGATTGGGTTTCACCATGTTGGCCAGGCTGGTCTTGAACTCCTGACCTCAGGTGATCCGCCCACCTTGACCTCGTGAAGTGCTGGGATCACAGGCACAAACCATCACACCCGGCCTAATATAAAAAATTTTTAAATAAAAACACATGGCTGGGCATGGTGGCTGACGCCTGTAATTCCAGCACTTTGAGAGGCCAAGGCAGATGGATTGCATGAGTCTAGGAGTTCAAGACCAGCCCGGGCAACATGATAAAACCCTGTCTCTACAAAAAATAAAACAATAAAAAATTAGCTGGCCGGGCGCAGTGGCTCACGCCTGTAATCCTAACACTTTGGGAGGCCAAGGCAGGTGGATCACCTGAGGTCAGGAGTTCGAGACCAGCCTGGCCAACATGGAGAAACCCAATCTCTACTAAAAATACAAAACTTAGCCAGGCATGGTGGCAGGCACCTGTCATCCCAGCTACTCGGGTGGCTCAGGCAAGAGAATCATTTGAACCTGGGAGGCAGAGGTTGCAGTGAGCCGAGATTGAGTCACTGCACTCCAGCCTCAGTGACAGAATGAGACTCTGTCTCAAAAACAAAAACAAAAACAAAAAAATAAGCTGAGCATGGTGGTGCACACCTGTAGTTACAATGTTAGTATCTTTGGTTGGCAGCGCATGGTGGTGCATGCCTACAGTCCCCACTACTCAAGAGGCAGATGCAGGAAGATCAATTGAGCCCAGGAGTTTGAGGCTGCAGTGAGCCATGATCTTTCCACTGCCCTCAGCCAGGATGACAGAGTGAGACCCTGTCTCTTAAAAAATTAAAATAAAATACCAATTACTTAAAGTGGCCAAGGTGTGGAGATTTGTTGTAAGGGGGTGTCAGTTCTGTCCTTGACCTGTTGAGAAAACAGTAAGGGTAAATAAAAGCCAGGCACAATTTAAAAGACAGCCTGGGCCGGGCACGGTGGCTCACACCTATAATCCCAACACTTTGGGAGGATGAGTTGGGCAGATCACCTGAGGCCAGTAGTTTCAGACAAGCCTGGCCAACATGGTGAAACCCAGTCTCTAATAAAAATACAAAAATTACCCGGCCATGGTGGCCTGTAATCCCAGCTGCTCAGGAGGCTGAGGCAGAAGAATCGCTTGAACCCAGGAGGCGGAGACTACAGTGAGCTGAGATTGCACTACTGCACTCCAGCCTGGGTGACAGAGCGAGACTCTGTCTCAATAAATAAATAAATAGGGCCGAGCACGGTGGCTCACGCCTGTAATCCCAGCACTTTGGGAGGCCAAGGCCGGTGGATCACGAGGTCAGGAGATCGAGACCATGCTGGCTAACAAGGTGAAACCCCGTCTCTACTAAAAATACAAAAAAATTAGCTGGGCATGGTGGTGGGCGCCTGTAGTCCCAGCTACTCGGGAGGCTGAGGCAGGAGAATGGCGCGAACCCGGGAGGCGGAGCTTGCAGTGAGCCGCGATAGTGCCACTGCACTCCAGCCTGGGCGACACAGCGAGACTCCGTTTAAAAAAAAAGAAGTTAGCATCTTCCAGATAAAGGTGCTTCAAGCTTTGCCTCCTTGAATCCATACTACATCCCATAATGGGCATGTTTTATTTTGCTGCCCCCCAGTATGCACTCCCCCTCATCTGGTAACAGCACCCCTGTTTTCTTTAGGGGAATTCGCCTCCCCCCATTTTTAGTCCATGAGGTGTAGGAAAGGCCAATCCACGCCCTCTTCCTAGGGGTGGTCACAGGACCCAGGCCTGACCAATGAGTGCATTCCATCCTCCTGCCCATAGGAATTGGCTCAGGAGTAGACATGGGACCTGTGGTGATCCAATTCAAGCCAATCCCATAATCCGTTTAAGAACTATCAGGAAAAAGGGGCTCTCTTTTCATAGGAGCTACAGAGAAGGTAGGATGTAAGCCTGGAGATATTGGCAGCCGTCTTGCCACCATGAGAAGAGAAATGGCCTCCACAAAGCCAACACTGAGTCAAGAGATAAATTCCCTCCAACTTTATTGGAGCCTTGGGATCCAGTCATACCTGAAACTGGAGCCCTCCCTAGTGAGCACACAACACAAACTGTTATCTTAGTGGGAGAATGAAAGAGGAGTGTCTCTGGCAGAAGAATTGTAAGCATATGCAAAGGCCCTGAGGTAGAAGCATTTTTGTAAAACAGAAAGAAAGGCATTGTGGCTGAGTTCAGAAAGCAGCAACAGGCAAGAGAGGAAGAAAATGAGATCTGAGAGAAAGGCAAGGGCCAGGCCATCCAGGGTAGGTCACAGTAAGGATTTAGATCTTTATTCTAAGGGCAATGGGAGAAGTTTCAAGGAGAGGGTTAATCATCTGATTTGAGGGTGGGGGGTGTTTGTTTTTTGGGTTTTTTTTTTTTAAGACACAGTCTTACTCTGTCACCCAAGCTGGAGTGCAGTGGCACAATCTTGGCTCACTGCAACCTCCACCTACCGGGTTCAAGCCATTCTCCTGCCTCAGCCTCCCAAATAGGCGGGACTACAGGCGCTCACCACCACACCCAGCTAATTTTTGTATTTTTAGTAGAGACGGGGTTTCACCACGTTGGCCAGCTGGTCTCGAACTCCTCACCTCAGGTGATCCACCCGCCTCAGCCTCCCAAAGTGTTGGGATTACAGGCGTGAGCCACCATGCCCAGCCTGATTTAAGTTTTTGCAAAGTTCACTGAGGCTGCTTCAAGGAGAATGCACCAGGGTGAGGAGGCGAGCAGAGTGGATGTTGTGGGGGACTATTATCATCATCAGGTGAGAGATATAGTGGTCTGGAACAGCATGTGTCTGAGCTGCTGCCCTTGGAAAGACGGTAGAGAGGAGGGGAAGCTGGCCACGTCCTCTACTTTGGCAGCTACATGATGTGAAAACTAATGCAACTTCTCAAGAAAGATTTGCTGCACCCCGGCAGTCAGCCCGAATTACTGAATCATGGAGAGTTAACACAATCAATAAATCTACAGTTGCTGGGCAAGAGCGCTGTTTTGCATACATACAGCCACGGAGCAAAAAGCCATCAGCTATTTCACTGGTTGCATGCAGTCACCCTTAAGCTTGTAAGAACCTGGAAGCTGGGCCAACAGTGTCTGCCAGACAGAGCCTCTTACACCTGTTTTGTCTTTTCCTGCTTACACTCTTCAATGATTTCTTCACCTGAATGATATTTCTCCTGAGTTACAAAATGGCAGTTGTTAATTATGAATGGAAAAGTTTCCTTTACAGGGGAGAAATCTGACAATATCACCTTAACCAGGTAATCAAGGTTAACGTCATTGATAATGGGACAAATGACATTACGTGCCTGGTGATGGAATGCACTAAGAACACAACATCACCAATATCATATTTTTACCAGAAATATTTAACTCCAATGCAATCACCAGGAAGCAATCAAACAAATCCACATTGAGAGACTCTGTACGAAACACCTGATCTATGCTCTTCAAGTACCCACGCCATGAAAGACAAAAAGAAGGAAGGGACTGTTCTGGATTCCAAGAGACTGAATAAAAATGACTAATAAATGCCATGCATGATCCTTAATTGGGTCCTGTAAAATACATTACTGGGAAAATTCAAATACTGACTGTATCTCATATGATAGTATTGTATCAATGTTAAATTTTCTAAATATGAACAATATATTGTGGTTATGAAAAAGGATGTCTGTGTTCTTAAGAGATGCACATTGCAGTATGGAAGGGGTGAAATGCCGTGATGTCTGCACTTCGTACCCAGGAAAAAATAATAAGATAGAGATAGATAGGATAGATAGATAGATAGATACAGAGATATAGATACAAGATAGATGATAGATACAGATAGATGAATACAGGTAGATCAGATAGATAGATAGATAGATAGATAGATAGATAGATAGATAGATAGATAGATAGAACAGATAGTTGGATTGATAGCTAACGATGATAGGTGGTGGATAGCGCACATGTGGCACAATGTTAAAGATGGCCACATTAGGGTGACGGGCATGGGTGTTCATCGAATCAGTATATTATTTTTGCAGCTCTTCTGCAGGCTTGTGGGAGGCTGGGCGTGATGGCACACACCTATAGTTCCAGCTATTCAGGAAGCTGAAGCAAGAGCATTGCTTGAGACTACGAATTAGAGACTGCAGTATGCTATGATCACACTCATAAATAGCCACTGCACTCCAACCTGGGCAACATTGCAAGACCTTGACTTAAAAAAACAAAACAAAACAAAAAAAGAAAAATTCATAATTTTGTTCAGCACTCTCAGGCATGTGTGCAAACACACACACACACACACACACACAGGGGTTGGTGTCCTACTGTCATTATGGCAAAGAATCATCTTCCTGGTGAAGAACATTGGCATAGCCATGCATCCTGGTTTGCCTGAGACAGCCCCAGTGTACACCTGTAATCTGACATGATTATTAATATTGCACCCTAAAAAATGCTAGGTATGTCAGAGTTGTTGCCCAAAGTAGAAACATCACTTTCACCTTCTGAGATATCAACGTACATTTACTCATTCATTCAGCAAACTTGTTCTGACCACCTGGTGGTGAGTCGGAAACTGGGCATACCACACTGAGCAGGGTCAGCAAGTTTCCAGCCCTCAGGGAACTGATGGCCTAAAGCCAGGCTTGGCAAACCACAGCCCGGCCCACAAGCCAGTTCCAGCCCCACTGCTTGTTTTCATATGACTTGTGAATTAGGAACAATTTTACATTTTTAAATAGTTGGAAAAAATTAAAAGAAAAATTAGCTGGGCATGGTGGTGCATGCCTGTAGTCCCAGCTACTTAGGAAGTTAGGGTGGGAGGATCCCTTTGAGTGGGCTGTGATCCTCCCACTGCACTCCAGCCTGGGTGACAGAGTGAAACTCTGTCTCAAAAAAAAAAACAAAAAAGGAAGGAAAAATGATATTTTGTGATCGTTTTCAAGTGAAAATGAAATAAAATTTAAACATCAATGTTCCTCAATAAAGTTTTATTGGAACACAGTCATGCTCATCCATTTATGAATCATCTCTGGCTGCTTTTGCACCACAGCAACAGAGTTGAACAGTCTCGACAGAGATCATCGTACGGCTCACAAAAGCATCAAATATTTACTATCTGGACCTTTATAGGAAAAGTTTGCCAACCCTGGTCTAAAGTTGTGTTTTCAGTATAGTTCCTAAGGTTTCTGGAAGTGAAGTAAGATCATGCATCTTACTTCAGTAAGATGGTACATAGCACTTAATAAATGCTCAATTAACAGATGGCAGCTAACAGCCTTGGGTTAGTCCGTTCTCACACTGCTATAAAGACATAGCTTAGAGTGGGTGATAGAAGTTTAATTGACTCACATGGGTGGGGAGGCCTCAGGAAACTTACAATTATGGCACAAAGTGAAGGAGAAGCAAGGCACATCTTAAATGGCGGCAGGCGAGACAGTGAAGGGGGACTGCCACACTTTTAAACCGTAAGATCTCATGAGAACTCACTATCACAAGAACAGCAAGGGGGAAATCCACCCCGATGATCCAATCAGCTCCTGCCAGGCCCCTCCTCTGACACATGGGGATTACAGTTTTAGATTATGAGATTTGGGTGGGACACAGAGCCAAATGATATCAGGCCTCAGTTTACACATCTGTAAAATGAAGATAACCATAGCACCTACCCAGTATGGTTGTTTTGTGGATTTAATAAGAGAATCCATGTCAGGCACCTTAGCACAGTGCCTGTATATACAAGGGGACTTCAAAAAGTTCATAGATATTGAAGTAAAAGATAAAAATATAAAATATAAATTTTATTTCTCAACATAAGCTCCATCAAGATCATGACTTTTTTTTTTTTTTTTTTTTTTGACACAGGGTGTTGCTCTGTCACCCAGGCTGGAGTGCAGTGCCATGATCATGGCTCACTGCAGCCTCAATCTCCTAGGTTCAAGCAATCCTCTCACTTATAGGCATGAACCACTGTGCCCAGCAAAGATCATGACACTTTTGTAAGTCATGATACCAGCCATTTAGTCCAACCCTGAAGAACTGAGGGTCCTGGGAATTGAACCCTGTCAATGCAGTCTTTTTTACATTATTAACAGTAGAAAAATGGGCCCTTTGAAGATTTTTTTAAGATTAAGAAACAAAAAGAAGTCAGAAGGTGCAGAATCAGAACTGTAAAGTGGATGCCTAATAATTTCCCATAAAAACTCTTACAAAATCGTCCTTGTTTGATGAGAGGAATGAGCAGTAGTGTTGTCATAGTGGAGGAGGACTTTCTGGTGAAGGTTTCCCAGGTGTTTTTCTGGTTAAAGCTTTAGCTAGCTCTCTCAAAACACTCTCATAATCAGCAGATGTTATCATTCTTTGGCCCTCCAGAAAGTCAACAAGCAAAATGCCTGGAGCATCCCCGAAAACTGTTGCCATGACCTTGCTCTTGACCGGTCTGCTTTTGCTTTGACTGGACTACTTCTACCTCTTAGTATCCATGGCTTCGCTTGGGCTTAGTTTTCAGGATCATAATGGTAAATGTTTCATCTCCTGTTACAATTCTTCAAATAAATGTTCAGGATCTTGATCTCATTTGTTTAAATTTCCATTGAAAACTCTGCTTTTGTCTGCAGCTGATCTGGGTGTAATAATTTTACACTCATGAGTGGCATTGCTCAACTTTAATTTTTCACTCAGAATGGTGTAAGCAGAACCAATGGAGATGTCTATGGTGCTGGCTATTGTTTCTGCTGTTAATCATCAGTCCTCTTCAGTTAGGGCACAAATAAGATAATTTTCTCCTCGAAAATTGATGTGGATGATCTGCCACTGTGCACCTCATTTTCGACATTGTCTTTTTTTTCTTTTTTGAGATGGAGTCTCACTCTGTCACCCAGGCTGGAGTGCAGTGGTGCAATCTTGACTCAGTGCAGCCTCCACCTCCTGGGCTCAAGCAATTCTCCCACCTCAGCCTCCACAGTAGCTGGAATGTCGGGCGTGTGCCACCATGCCTGGCAAGTCAATATTGTCTTGTCCCTTCTTAAAATGAGATATCCATTTGTAAACTGCTGATTTATCTACCACATTTTCCCCACAAACTTTTCATAAGGCATTAGTGATTTCACCATCCTTCCACCCGAGCTTCACCATAAACTTGATGTTTGTTCTTACTTCAGTTTTAGGAGAATTCATGTTGCTCTGACAGGGGTTCTTTTCAAACAGATGTCTTATCCTTCTTAGTGCCTCAAACTAGATCCTGTTCAGACGTGTTGTAACAAGTTAGTATGAGTTTATTTTGGTGCAAAAAAACTTTGAGATCCATACACAGTTGTTTGTTTGTTTGATTGTTTGAGACGGAGTCTTGCTCTGTTGCTGAGGCTGGAGTACAATGGCACCATCTGGGCTCACTGCAACCTCCACCTCCTGGGTTCAAGTGATTCTTGTGCCTCAGCCTCCCGAGTAGCTGGGACTACAGGCGCCCGCTACCACGCCTGGCTAATTTTTGTATTTTTAGTAGAGATGTGGTTTCACCATGTTGGCCAGGCTGGTCTCGATCTCCTGATTTCAAGTGATCCACCTGCCTCAGCCACCCAAAGTGCTGGGATTACAGGCGTGAGCCACCATGCCCAGTTGTAATTTTTCTTCTGCAAACATTGTATTATTTGCTTTTGCATGTTGCTGAACATGCAAAATAAATGGTCTCGTTCTGTTCATATGATTCTATGATTGGCTTGTCTCCCTCAACCCTTCGTATGATTTATCTGTGTTGATGTGATCCACTCCTTTCCACTGATGCATCAGACTTCAGTGTATGGAAAATAGCACAACTGACACCATAACCATTTTTCTTTAAAGGAACATTTGCAGGGGGTGGTACTTCTGTTGTGGGATACTACAAATAAACAATCATTCTCGCCAGTGCGGTGGCTGACGCCTGTAATCCCAGCACTCTGGGAGGCCAAGGCAGGTGGATCGCTTGAGCTCAGGAGTTCAAAACAAGCCTGGGCAACATAGCAAGACCCTCATCTCTACAAAAAATTCAAAAATTAGCCGAGCGTGGTGGTGTGTGCCTGTAGTTCCAGCTACTCAGGAGGCTGAGACAGGAGGATGGCTTGAGCCCAGGAGGCGGAGATTGCAGTAAGCTAAGATCCCACCACTGTACTCCAGCCTAAGCAACAGAGCGAGACCCTGCCTCAAAAACAGGCCATGCGTGGTGGCTCATGCCTATAATCTCAATACTTTGGGAGGCCAAGAAGGGCAGATCACCTGAGGTCAGGAGTTTGAGACCAGCCTGGACAACATGGTGAAACCCTGTCTCTACTAAAAATACAAAAATTAGCCAAACGTGGTGGCAGGTGCCTGTAATCCCAGCTACTTGGGAGGCTGAGGCACGAGAATCACTTGAACCCGGGAGGCAGAGGTTGCAGTGAGCTGAGATCGTGCCACTGCAGTCCAGCCTAGGCGACAGAGCTAATCTCAGTCTCAAAAAAAAAAAAAAAAAAAACCAACAATTGTTCCCATGATGTCTATTAGCTCATTTAATCCTCACAGTGGCATGGGCAGTACGGTACAATTGTCAGCCACATTCTTCAGTGAGGAAACTGAGGCTCTAGAAGCTTAAGTTACCAAAATCACACAGGCACGACTCCTAACCAGCTCTTGACTCTCAGCCTTCCCCCACTCTCAACTCTTTAAAAATCACCCTCTCCAAAATGGAAGCACTTCCCCCAATTATCCAAGGCAGAGGTGATAATCAATCTATCTCTCTTCCCAAGATTAAAAGCCATTAGCAAATAATAACATGTTTGCCTCTCCTGTGTGTGTTTGAATTAAGTTTTCATTCCATACCAGGGAGAAAATCTAACTGAGGACTTCCAATACTAATAATAGACTGCAATAAAAGTAAAAGGTTTTTGCTTAACAATTACCTCTTGGAAGAGCTATCTAAACCCTAATGCAATCTGTGAATATTGTGCACTGATTCTCCCTGCTATGCGTTACCAACTGGTAAATTCATACTGAGAGGTGACAGCATGCTGGCAGCCCTTAACAGCCCTCGCTCGCTCTAGGCGCCTCCTCTGCCTGGGCTCCCATTTTGGCGGCACTTGAGGAGCCCTTCAGCCCGCCACTGCACTGTGGGAGCCCCTTTCTGGGCTGGCCAAGGCCGGAGCCGGCTCCCTCAGCTTGCGGGGAGGTGTGGAGGGAGAGGCGCGGGCAGGAACCGGGGCTGTGCGCGGTGCTTGCGGGCCAGCGCGAGTTCCTGGTGGGCGTGGGCTCAGCGGACCCCACACTTGGAGCGGCAGGCCGGCCCCACCGGCCCCGGGCAGTGAGGGGCTTAGCACCTGGGCCAGCAGCTGCTGTGCTCAATTTCTCGCAGGGCCTTAGCTGCCTTCCCGTGGAGCAGGGCTTGGGACCTGCAGCCCGCCATGCCTGAGCCTCCCCCCACCTCCATAGGCTCCTGTGCGGCCAGAGCCTCGCCTACGAGCACCGCCCTCTGCTCCAGGGTGCCCAGTCCCATCGACCACCCAAGGGCTGAGGAGTGCAGTCGCACTGCATGGGACTGGCAGGCAGCTCCACCTGCAGCCCTGGTGCAGGATCTACTGGGTGAAGCCAGCTGGGCTCCTGAGTCTGGTGGGGACGTGGAGAACCTTTGTGTCTAACTCAGGGATTATAAATACACCAACTGGCACTCTGTATCTAGCTCAAGGTTTGTAAACACACCAATCAGCACCCTGTGTCTAGCTCTGGGTTTGTGAATGCACCAATCGACACTCTGTATCTAGCTACTCTGGTGGGGACTTGGAGAACCTTTGTGTCCACACTCTGTATCTAGCTAATCTGGGGGGGACTTGGAGAACCTTTGTGTCTAGCTCAGGGATTGTAAACGCACCAATCAGTGCCCTGGCAAAACAGACCACTCCGCTCTACCAATCAGCAGGATGTGGGTGGGGCCAGATAAGAGAATAAAAGCAGGCTGCCCGAGCCAGCAGTGGCAACCCACTGGGGTCCTCTTCCACACTGTGGAAGCTTTGTTCTTTTGCTCTTTGCAATAAATCTTGCTACTGCTCACTCTTTGGGTCCACACTGCCTTTATGAGCTGAAACACTCACCGCGAAGGTCTGCAGCTTCACTTCTGAAGCCAGCGAGACCACGAGCCCACCAGCCCACCGGGAGGAAGGAACAACTCCAGACGCGCGGCCTTAAGAGCTGTAACATTCACCGTGAAAGTCTGCAGCTTCACTCCTGAGCCAGTGAGACCACGAACCCACCAGAAGGAAGAAACTGAACACATCCGAACGTCAGAAGGAACAAACTCCGGACACGCCGCCTTTAAGAACTGTAACACTCATCGCGAGGGTCCGCAGCTTCATTCTTGAAGTCAGTGAGAACAAGAACCCACCAATTCCGGACACAATACGACCCCAGCAACAGGCTATGTCAAAAGCCTGAAAGACATTCCCTAGCCCCATAGGAAAAACACAGCTGTTTACTGAGCACCCACTATGTGCCAGGCCATCCATTAATATTAAACTTCTCAACAACCCTTCCCAACAAAGTAGGAAAAGTAGCTCCATTTTTCTAAAGAGGATGGGCAGACCGAAGGCCTTTACTGACAAGCCCAAGGTCGCACAGCTAGTAAATGGCAAAACCAGGAAAGTAACCCAAGCCTGTAAAGTTCCAAAACTCCGATTTTCCTCCTAAATCAACATGCCTAGAACAGAATGCTCCATCTGCACCTGCAGCCTAAAACGCAGAGGTATTTATCGTCCTCAACCAAAACGCCTGTTTTAACTTACCCTAAGCAGAAACCTGATGGTTGATTGTTAACTCTAAAGACAGGAATTAGATGGTCCTAAATAAGAGCTTTAATGCATTTTCGAATGTGGAAAAGTTATTCAACACAGTAAATCAATGCACAATAGGACCTCGCTAGAGAGTCTTTTGTGTAGCTGAGGCACTGGAGTTTTTTCCGTCTATCACTCAAACCATTGTTAGACATTTTCTAAAGCCTTCATACAAAGCAACACGGGAGAATCAACACTTTAGAAAGAAAGAAATTAATTTTCCTATGAGAAAAAAAAAATAATGGTCCTGAGAAAGCAACAATCAAACATGGATGAATGAAGATGAAAAAAACAACTACTTTTTACAAGTCTAGAAATCCGTCAAGACCCAGACATCCGTCACCTCCTGAACAGATTTTAATTTTAGAGTTTGCTTCCTTTACATTTTTTTTTTCTCTTCTCTTCCTATGGTTAGATGGATGTAACATATGCTTAGGATTTCACAAATTCAGTTTTGGTAGGTGTAATGTCTAAGAATATCTGAAGCTATTTTCAAGACATTTTGTGATAATGCTTGTCTTGTTCTTTGAAATCTAGTCTTTGGATTTCTTCTTACTCCATAGCCTAGACTTCGTGGCTTCTCTTGTGATATCAAATGATTCTCAAGAGATGAGCTGACCCAAGCATGGGCATAATTTCCAACAGCCTTTATCTCCACGTGGAAATCCTCCAGTGCAGCGGCGCATGGTGGCTCATATCTGTAATCCCAGCACTTTGGGAGACCAAAGTGGGAGGATCGCTTGAGTCCATGAGTTCAAGACCAATGTGGGCAACATAGTGAAATCATGTCTCTATTTAAAAAAAAATTTTTTTTTTTAATTAGCTGGATGTGGTGATGTGCACCTGTGGTCCCAGCTACTTGGGAGGCTGAGGCAGGGGGATAGCCTGAGCCAGGAGTTCGAGGCTGTAGTGAGCTATGATTACACTGCTGCACTCCAGTCTGGGAGACAGAGCAAGGTCCCGTCTCTAAGAATAAATCAATAGTCCTCCAGTGCAGCTTGTCTCAAACTGCAAATGCACCTATGAATCCCCTAGAGATCTCGTGGATAAAATGCAGATTCTGATCCAGTGGGGCTTGGGTGGGATCCGAGACTCTGCATTTCCAACAGTTACAGACCAGGCTGAGGCTGCTGATGCACAGGCCACACCTTAAGTGTTACTCTCCATTTGCCCCCCATCTCCACCCCAGATCCATTATTTGCCCTGCTCTGGGCCGGGGACGCTAAGCCCTGCAGGCTGCAGCACCTGCACAGCTTGGCCACCTGGCCTGCAGATAGGCTGGAACAATGAGAGGCAGCCCTGGAGATCAAAGGGAGGCAGGAGAGAGAGTTCAGTGCATTTGGCCCTTCCTCACTCAGCCCTTCTGGGGCTGCAGCTCCAGCAGGGGAGTCCTTCTCCATGGCTCCAGGTCTTTCCAGATTCCAGGAATACTGTTCCTGTTCTTCCATCCCTGTATCCTTTTGTGTGTGTGTGTGTGTGTGTGTGTGTGTGTGTGTGTGTGTGTGTGTGAAATGTAGTCTCGCTCTATCGTCCAGGTTGGAGTGCAGTAGCGTGTGTGTGTGTGTGTGTGTGTGTGTGTGTGTGTGTGTGTGAAATGTAGTCTCGCTCTATCGTCCAGGTTGGAGTGCAGTAGCGCTATCTCAGCTCACTACAACCTCCACCTCCTGGGTTCAAGCTATTCTCCTGCCTCAGCCTCCCAAGTAGCTAGGATTACAGGCACGTGCCACCACGCCTGGCTAATTTCTGTATTTTTAGTAGAGGTGGGGTTACACCATGTTGGTCAAGGTGATCTGCCCGCCTCGGCCTCCCAAAGTGCTGGGATTACAGGCATGAGCCACCATGCCTGGCCTACCATCCTTATATCCTTAAGACCCAAGGGTACTGTGATAAGCAGAATGGGCCCCCAAAGATGTCCTCATCCTCATCCCTGGAACCTGTGAATATGTTACTTTACATGGCAAAAGGGACTTTGCAGATAGTATTAGGTCAAGGATCTTGAGGTGGGAAGATTATTCTGGATTATCTGGTGGATCGGATTTCATCATCAGGGTGTTAATAAGTGGGAGAAGAGGCAGGAATGTCCAAAATGAGAAATGTAATGTGAGAAAGGCTTGACCGGCCATCGCCGGCTTTGAAGATGGACAGAGGCGTCACAAGCTAAGGAATGTGGGCAGCCTCGAAAAGCTGGAAAAGGCAAGAGAGCAGATTCTCCCCTAGAGCCCCCAGAAGGAAAGCATCCCTGCTAATGTAGGTGTAAGGAGCTCCCTCCTGATGTAGGTCCCTGGTGTTTCACCCTCCCACGTTGCAACCCTGAACCCTGCTTACTTACACAAACAGTCCCTTCTTAAAATTCTCTTCAGTTCAACCCTTGTGAGTGAACTTCGTTTTCTTCCCAGATCCTGGCAGATATATGGCACCTCAGATACAACTGTAAAATGTTCAAGACTGAACCCAGCACCTTTTCCCCAAATCTGCTCTTCCTTTTAGCTGTCTAGTCCTCAAACGTGCCCAAGCTGATTCCTGCAGCAGGACATTTGCACGTACACATCCTCTTTCCTGAAATGCTCTCCCTCCAGATCCTCACGTGGCTGACTTCTCTAGAATGATGTCATTCACTCGTTTGTTCAATCACCCATTCATACCTACCCTGGGCCAGGCACTGTTGTAGGCACTGGGGATACTGCAATAAACAAGGCCAACTCCCTGTCCTCTTGGAGCTGGCATTCTCATGGAGAAGACAGACAACCCATCAACAAATAAAAAGAGCAGAATAGGCCGTGCGTGGTGGCTCATGCCTGTAATCCCGGCACATGGGGAGGCTGAGGCGGGTGGATCTCTTGAGGTCAGGAGTTCGAGACCAGCCCTGCCCATCTCTACTAAAAATACAAAAATTAGCCGGGCGTGGTGGCGTGTGCCTCTGGTCTCAGCTACTCAGGAGGCTGAGGCATGAGAATCACTTGAACCCAGGAGGCAGGCTGCAGTGAGCTGAGATCCTGCCACTGCACTCCAGCCTGGGCTACAGAGTGAGACTCTATCTCACAAAAAAAAAAAGTGTTTGATATATATTGTTGGGTGAATGATGGCATGGTGAGGTAGGAGGCATGGAAGAGGCCACAGAATCACGCAATGCTTCTCCATCAGGGGAAACACTAAGGGCCTCCGGGGGAATTTGGTAATGTGTGGGACGTGTGTGGTTGTCACAGTAACTATGAACACTATTGACATTTACTGGGTGGAGGCCCAGGAAGCAAAAAATCCTAAAATATACCAGAGAGTCTGATGCAGTAAAGTTCTGCCCACTCCAAAAGGCCAGTAAAGAATTTGGCTTTTATTCTGAATGTGATGGGAGGCCACTGGGGAACAGGAGGGCAGCAGAATCCCATGTGCATGTTTAACAGATGGCTCTGTGGGGAGAATGGCAGAAGTGGGGTCTGAGTGGAGATGGGGAGGCCACATAAGATCTTAGCAGATCGGAGCTGGGTGCAGTGGCTCACACCTGTAATCCCAGCGATGCAGGAGGCCAAGGCAGGAAGGTCACTTGAGGCCAGGAGTTTGAGACCAGCCTGGCCAACATTGTAAAACCCCGTCTCTGCTAAAAATATTAAAAAATTAGCCGGTCATGGTGGCGCACAGCTGTAATCTCAGCTATTCAAGAGGCTGAGGCATGAAAATTGCTTAAACCTGGGGGGGCGGAGGCTGCAGTGAGTGGAGATCATGCCACTGCACTGCAGCCTGGGTGACAGAGTGAGACTCTGTCTCAAAAAATAATAATAATAAATTAAAAAATTAAAAAACTTAGCCGGTATGGTGGCCTGCGCCTGTAGTCCCAGCTATTAAAGAGGCTGAGGTTGGGGGGATCCCTTGAATCCAGGGGTAGGAGGCTGCAGTGAGTTATGATGGGGCCACTGCACTCCAGCCTGGGTGACAGAGCAAGACCATGTCTCCAGTGGGGGAGAAAAAAATCTAACCAGGTTCCAGGAAGACTGGTGCCCTACCTTCTTGTCTTTCAGAGATAACAGAGGCTCCCCATTGTGGTGGTAGCAGAGCTAGGGAGAGGCGACAAACCGTGGATATATATTTTGGAAGGACCATGAGCAGAAGTGGCTGGGGGCTGAACAAGCAGGGTCTGGAATGGGAGCGGGAAGGAAGGAGTCAAGGCCAACCTCTGTGTTTTTTGTTTTTGTTTTTGTTTTTGTTTTGAGACAGAGTCTCGCTCTGTCACCCAGGTTGGAGTGCAGTGGCGCAATCTTGGCTCACTGCAACCTCCATCTCCCTGGTTCAAGCAATCCTCCTGCCTCAGCCTCCCAAGTAGCTGGGATTACAGGTGCCTGCCACCACGCCCAGCTAATTTTCATATTTTTAGTAGAGACGGGGTTTCGCCATATTGGTCAGGCTGGTCTCGAACTCCTGACCTCAGGTGATCCAACCACCTTGGCCTCCCAAAGTGCTGGGATTGCAGGCGTGAGCCACTGCGCCTGGCCAGTGCCACACTTTTAAACCATCTGATCTCAGGAGAACTTACTCACTATCATGAAAACAGCATGAAGGAAACTGCCCCCTTGATCCAATCACCTCCCACCAGGTCATTCTCTCAGCGTGTGGGGATTACAAGTCAAGATGAGATTTGGGTGGGGACACAGAGCCAAACCATATCATTATATAAACCCGCTGACAGTGTTTGGCACCTAATTGTCAGTAAATTAAAGGAATTATCATTTCCTTCAATCCTTCATCTTAAGGTCTTGATCCAGGCTCCCTCCATAGCTGTTTTGTTTTCCATCTTGTATTCAGCCTGTGTGTGTCTCCTCTCCCTAAATGGGCCATTGCCATAAAGTCCGTTCAGACAGGGATTAAGACAAGTATTTATTTTGTATTCCCCAAAGCACCTAGCCCAATGCCTGGTTCATTGTACTCATTAAAAAGTGCTTGAATGGGTGCATGCATGCATACTGCTTGGTGGTTTTGAATATGAAAGAAAATCTGAAATAATTCTCAACTCACTCACCAGGATAATTAAGACTGGTCTCACATGGCAGCTGAGACAAGGTTTCACCATCTTGGGAGTGCTGAGAATGCATTTCCCAGGCTGTTCTCCCCATCCGCACTGAGAATTATAATCACAGCAAGGCCAAAACTGCAACTCACACATAGGGGTAGCTATCCCACATGCACCTATAAAAAGGCATTTGATTGAAATTGATCCTACTGATTCAATAACTCCAGTCATGGCAGTCCGTTGTAAAGAATTAAATATCTTGGCTGGGCACAGTGACTCACACTTGTAATCCCAGCACTTTGATGAACCAAGACAGGAGGTTTGTTTGAGCCCAGGAGTGCAAAACCAGCCTGGAGAATATAGTGGGACACCATCTACACAAAAAATTTAAAAAAATTAGCTGGGTTTGGTCGCGCATGCCTATAGTCCCAGCTACTCAGGAGGCTGAAGTGGGAGGATCACTTGAGCCTGGCAAATAGAGGTTGCAGTGAGCCAAGATCACACCACTGCATTCCAGCCTAAGCAACGGAGTGAGACCCTGTCTGAAATAATAATAATAATAATAAAATATCTTTATTCCTAAACTCAAAGCAAGACAGAACCAGAATTCAATAGGCAAAAATGCCAAGAGACATGAAGAATTCCCAGAAAATCACATGAAAACCACATGGAAAGACGCTCAGCCTCACTTTAAAGAGAAATGCTGCTGGGTGCAGTGACTCACGTCTATAATCCCAACACTTTGGGAGGCCAAGGTGGGCAGATCACTTGAGCTCAGAAGTTCGAGACCAGCCTGTCCAGCATGGCAAAACCCTCCCCTCTACAAAATATACAAAAAATAGCCAGACGTGGTGGTTTGCGCCTGCAATCTCAGCTACTCGGGAGGCTGAGGCATGAAAATTGCTTGAACCTGGGAGGGAGAGGTTGCAGAGCCAAGATTGTGCCACTACACTCCAGCCTGGGCAACACAGTGAGACCTTGTGTCAAAAAAAAAAAAAAAAAAAAGAGACAGGGAGCTGGGCGCAGTGGCTCACTGGTTCGCGCCTGTAATCCCAGCACTTTGGGTGGCTGAGGTGGGTGGATCACCTGAGGTCAGGAGTTCGAGACCAGCCTGGCCAACATGGTGAAACCCAATCTCTAATAAAAATACAAAAATTAGCCTGATGTGGTGGTACATGCCTGTAATTCCAGCTACTCAGGAGGCTGAGGCAGGAGAATCACTTGAACCTGGGAGGCAGAGGTTGCAGTGAGCTGAGATCTCACCACTGCATTCCAGCCTGGGGGACAGAGTAAGCTCAGGTGACCCCTTCTCTGAATTCTAACCTCACTATAATTCACTCCTCTATGCAACCATCAATTTAAGTTAATAATCTTATCATTGTCTATTCTAGTCAAATGACAAATATTTGAATATATATGTCTCCCTGACTATGACTCCATGCATAGCTCCTCAGATGCATGAACTATTTTATTCATCTGCTTCCCGATGCCTAACTGTTATTGGGGATTTAATCTTTGCCAAATGGAAAATTTGGATCCCAAACAAACTCTGTTTAGTTCAGTGTAACAGGTAGAAATGACATCATGTCTGCGCATCACATACAATTCCTTTGTCCGTAAACTGCTCACAGATCTTGGCAGTATGGTATTGCTTTCTTGTAACCCTTATTTCAGTAGCTATATTTTCTATCATGATGGTATTTGAGGATTTAAATGATCTGACCTCCAGTGACTTGAATATTACCAGCTCACTGGTAACTGTCACCACTGACAAAATAGCAAATCTCTATTTCTGGCTCATCCCATTTGCAAATTCAGTGTTTGGAAACTTAGCTAGTTCCTAGGGGAAAAATAACAGCACCTGCAAAATCAAACCATTCACTTGAGATCACAGTCCCCTTTTTGCTACCCCCTCGTAGAGGCGAAGAGAAGAGGTGGATGAAAGCATACATGTCATATGAGCCAACAGTAGACCCTCACACCAGAAGCTTTTTCATTCACAAGGTGACCACGTTGAATAATTCCTCATCTCTGTCCGCAGGATTTATTGCAGGGATTCCGGCTCTGCCTTTAATGTACTCATTTTCTTGGGAACTCTTCTTGTGAGTAGGAACTACACAAACAGAAGGTCATTTCATGGCATGGCCAAGGACAAGATATTGTCACTGCCCTCTAACATGCAATCCAGGACCTCAAGAAGGATTATGTGGAATGAGGTGTCTCCAAGCAATATTGTGTACAGCACCTCTTCTGAAACCCAAGGGTAATCACCAAACAGTACCATGGTTTGAAAACCCCGTAGTAATCCTCCGGTGCGATACACACTCTTAGCCCCTCTTCATGGCTCTTATCTTGTTTGGAACTAGTCGTCTCACTTCTGTCTTTTGTCTTGGCTCTGGGCAGCTTCAGGAACTGCCTTCTGACGGTGCAAGGCCTAGCTCCCTGGTAGACAGGCACCCTATCAGGTTGTTTCGGGCAGCGTTCCTCCCCAGGGCACAGGTGTAGTGCCTAGTATTTTGAAGGTGCTCTGTTATTTTTATTTATTTATTCTTTTGAGAGAGAGTCTCACTCTGTCGCCTAGGCTAGAGGGCTAGAGTGCAGTGGCGCAATTTTGGCTCACTGCAACCTCCACCTCCTGGGCTCAAGCAAGTCTCATGCCTCAGCCTCCCGAGTAGCTGGGATTACAAGCATGCGCCACCATGGCCAACTAATTTTAGTATCTTTAATAGAGGCGGGGTTTCGCCATGTCGGCCAGGCTGGTATCGAACCCCTGGCCTCAAGTGATCCGCCCGTCTTGGCTTCCCAAAGTGCTGGGATTACAGGCATGAGTCACTGTGCCTGGCCCATGCTCTGTATTTCTGAATGGACAGGTGACAGGACTAACAAACTAAACCAGCTAGATTTGATTAGATGCATTAAACAATTCAAATGAGACTGAGAGGGGGGTCATAGTATTTTACAGTGTAAATAAGTAATCCAAATCATTCCTTATATTTCTAATAAAGAATAACCACCTGTTTTGCTATCTATAAAATGGTTTCTTTCTGCCCATGTCAGTGCACACTGTTGTCAGAACAAAGTGGCCCTGTTGGTATGTGACCTAAACCTACTCTAAAGGAAGAGCTGATGTCCCATAGCAGATAATTTACTCCTCCTCCAAGCCTCCTTACCATCCCTTTACTTCTTATTCCCACCTAATACTATTTACATTCAGTTCTGTGTGTTTTCTAACAATTTCCTCTGTGTGTGTGTGTGTGTGTGTGTGTGTGTATGTGTGTGTGCGCGCGCGTGCGCGCACATATATATTTTTGGGGGGCATGCAGTGAGAGTAGGTGAGAAAGGGTCTCACTATGTTACCCAGACTGGTCTAAAACTCCTGGGCTCCTGGGTTCAAGGAATCCTCCCGTCTCAGCCTCCAAGTAGCTGAGATTACAGGGGCGCGCCACCATGCCCAGCATTTCTTCTATAGTTTACACAGACTATACTTTTTACTCTTGAGTTACTCATATGTTCTCCCAGATAGAACTCCCTATCTCCTAAAGCTATTTCTACAGGAAACACTCAATGAATTCTTCAGGAACTCATGCCTTTATTCTATGTTCCAAGTCACTTCTAGATAAGAGCTGCTAAATGTCAGTATTTTGCCAGTGTGAGAGGTGGAGTGACCAATAATCCCATTTTTTTCCTGGACATTTCTGATGAAGCAAACGACAAATGCCATCATATAAGAAAATGGTTTTATTCCTAATTTTTAGTTCCCATACAGTTTACAAATACACTTTTACTCTGATAATACAGCTTTGCAACTAGCAAAGCAGTTGCGCTAACACCCATAAATATAGGTGGGGAGACAATTAACATCCACTAATGTTTCTCTACATAAACTATTCTTTTAATGTCATTTTTTTAAGAACAGTTGCAAATAGACTACATAATATACGTGGGCAAAAAGGCAATTAAGTGAATCTCTTGAAACACTAAATGTATAATAAACAGCATATTATCAACATTTACATGATTCACATCAAAATGATGACATCCTAAAACGTATTCCTTTTAAAGGATAGATTTATCAATAAAATATTACATATCTTTTAATACTCTGGTACAATACTTCATATACTGCAGGAAAATTAATTGTAGGTCTAGTCATCAGCTTAATCAGGGATCCTTTTCCCATTAGCTTTTATTAATAAAAGAATCACAATTAGGTCATAAATAAACAGGCAAATTATTAATTACATGATTTGAGGCTTAGGATGAAAACTTGTCAAAATTAGTTTGATATACAGCAAAGTTATACAACACACTAAAACCAACTGTTCAATAGTTTTTGCCTTGTGTGAACTGCCCATAGTGAAAAAGGAACAAATTTTTAGTGATGAAAGATACAATAAACTATATTTTGGAACTTTTCAAGAGGAAGAAGGAAAAAAGATTTCAACAAAATTAAGGGCAAATACAGATCCTAACAAAGGCATCCTGACATCAGGGAGGCCATGTGCTTGCTATGTGTGAAAGTTGATCCCCCAACAACATACAGAAAACAAAAGCTGCACTGGCTTTGTAGTTATGTCTATAGTCTAAGTTTCCCTTATGGATACTAAGCTACAACAAAACACTTGACAATTGCAAACCTTTCCACATCCCCCTGAATTAAAAATAACTCAAGATGTTATTAGTTCTTAAAATCCCCAATAAAATAACCTCTAAAAATAATCTTGACCATTTTCCTGGCTGTTTCCCCGAAGCAACTTGGCTCTTTAAAGAATGCACACACACCAAGAAAGTCCTACCCGTGTCTCCTCATCCCCATTTAGCCACATTTGAAAAGACCTTGGTTTCAGTGGGAGAGATGACCATAAGTTTCAGAAGGGCCACACACTGGACATGAAGCGCCTTTTAGTTTTTTTTAAAAAAAGTTATTAAGACTGTGAAATTTGGCTTTTTTTTTAAACTCCAATACCTAATGTGCCAGATAATTCTTTCACCCCAAAATATAAAATCCTATGCTTATAATTTTAAAATCCTCAGTGAGCTATGGAATATTGTGCATATTTAATACCCACCAGCAACCTAGAAGTAGATGGCATCCATGTGTCTGTCACACCGACTTTCCAAACAACCTCATTCACCCATTACTGACTGCTCTGGCCCTGGGCGCTCTGACTTCCTCAGAAACCACCTCTTTGGAACTTTCCTTTCCACAACTTTTTTTTTAAAACTTCACCTCGAGCTTTCTCCATCATCCCAGCCTCTCTGCCTGATTCCATCTCATGTAAAGTAAACTCGTCTGAGAACCTGCGATCACCTTTTACCAAGCACATGATAAGCCGTAGCAACCTAGGGACTATGATAACTCTGGCCTTGGCCTAAGTTTACATAAGAACATGATAGTTTGCTGACCTCGTGGAGGGAAATCTAAATGAAATCAATATCTTATAACAAAACTAGCCAAGATCAGGTATTTCCATTCTGAGTATAAAAGCAACTGATCTTAAGCAACAGGCAGAGATGTTAATGCAGAAGATATATTTGTACAATCAAACTCTTGTGTGCTGGTGAAAGACTTTACCCCCAAAGTCAAGTCAAGTCAAGACAAAACCAAAGCAAAATGGAGAATGAGTCGATGTAACAATGCGATAAAAAGAACAGCATTCAAGCTTCTTGCTGCAAATACTGAACTGGAATCTTTTTCTTTACAAGTTTGACTAGAAGACAGCAGTGACACTTCCCTAATAAGGGAATACCTTCAGGCCACACCTGTGTTCTGAAGCAATTCAAAGTTCAAGGAATATTGGGGGGTGGAGGTGGGGGCTGATATACATTTTGTCAGTGAGAATGGCAGCCAAACTACCCCAAAGTCTCAAGGGACTGAGAGACCTCAGAAAGGAACTACCACCAGGGCTGGATCTAGGCCTTCCTTTCAGAAGCCAAAGTCAGAAGAATCCAAGGAGGCCACAACTTCATGGCAAAGATGCCATAGCATTATTACCATCACAAAAGTCAACCAATGATATTTTCATTGAAATATCCGCACTGGATGATTCAACATATGAGGCAAAGAGGGATGTCTTTGGAGAAGGCACTTAATGTAGAACATTAGCAAATCTTACTGGTTGGCTACAACAAAAATGAGCTCATTCAACCTGGCTGGAGGCCTGTTAGGGCTGTTCCTTCTCACTGTGGCCTGACTAAAACCCAGTGGCATTAAGAAAGAGTCACGTTTCCCAAGTCTGGGGATGCCCCAGTGGGGTGGTGCTGCTCTCAAAAGCCCTGTGTCCCTAAACACATCCATCCTCACAAGATCAGTTTCCCCAAGTGCTGGTTCCAAAAATAGGCTCAGGGCTAGCAGAAATCATTCAGGAAGCTTCTTGAAGGCCCTCTCTTTATTTCTTAGTCTGACTTTCAGCTTGTCCCAGCTACTGTAAGCAGCTTCGGCTTCCCAAGGTCACTAGCAACTTCTGCTTTTGCTAATATCCTTGGTTTTCCATGGCACTGGTTGTGACCGTCTGTTAGACTAGTGGCCCCCCACTTAACTGCACCTCTACTTCACACCCTTTTCTTGAATCTGAGCTGGGCTTGTGACTTGTTTAGTAAGTAGAGGGCATACCCCAGCTTTCTTCTGATTAGAAAAAACCATCATCATCATCATCATCATCATCATCATCATCATCATCATCATCAATAGAGGGAAGTAGAAGGGACACTGTGACAATTCTGGACTTAAGTTTTCAGAAGGCCTGGCCATTTCTGCTTTTGAGCTCTTGGGAGCTCTGAGCTGCATGTGAGAGGTCTAGCTACCCTGCCAGCCAGGCCACTGAAAGAGACTACACGAAGAAGGAGAGACTCAGGACTGCAGGCAGAGAGAGAAGCCCAGCCATCCCAGTCTCTCCGCCGACCTGCTGACCACATGAGTGGCCACCTGCAGGCTGGCAGAAGAACAGCCCAGCTGAGCCCAGCTCAGATTGACTAACAGTTGGGGGCAGGTTTTTTTAAGCCACTAAAGTTTTGGGATAAGTTTGTCAGCAACATTTGGCGACCAAAAACACTGGTCATTCATAGACGCCTTTTTTCTAAGTACAAGACAATTATTCAAATGCAAAGAAAATATGGCAAACGTTTTCCCACCACAAACTTCTCAGTCAACAGCCGAACTATAATTGGTCAACGGCTGGAAAAAAGAAAAAAAAAAAAGCCACACCTCTTACCTTAATTCATAAATATCCATGATTCTTTTTCTATGACTCTTTAATGCCAGTGCAAAGGTCAACTTCTGACAGTCTCAGGCACTGGCTTAATTCTCATTTGGCCAAAAATAGAAGCCATCAAAATGAATTATCCACTACTGGATACATGATGGTAAATGAGATTGTTCTCACTTTTCTAGGTCGTTGTTACTTAATTTTCCCAAATCATTTCTTCTCATCATCCCCAACAATGAGGAAAAAAAAAATTAAACTGGTTAAGGGTATAAAAATAAAAATAAAAAAGCCTATTACTAGAATTTGAATCCCCATAATCTGCAAAATACAGCGCACAATTTAACTGCTTCCTCAATTTCAAACAAATTCTATAAAATATAATGTTGTCTACATTGTAGAGATGATTTCTTCTTATCTGAGGAAATGAGTAATTGGGAAGCAGGTATTGTTGAGTTAAAATACAGTGGTCTTTAAATGGTTTCAAATTTTGCTTATCAAAAGGTAGTCAACCACATTGCAAGCCTTCCAAATCCAAATTCTGTCTTCACATAAACTTTCTTGCGTCTGTTCTTGATCTTTTTAGGGAGAGGGTGAAAGTCCACATCTGGGGAAGAAATAAGTTAAGAGTTTTTAAGGAACATATATCTAAAAGCTTAACAAAGCATTAGGTGATTTTAAGGTAGACTTAGAGCTTTTAACTACACTACCCATTGAAGTGGAATTTCGACATGAAATACTGACACTGAGTTTTTTTTTTTTTTTTTTTTTTTTTGAGATGGAGTTTCACTCTTGTGGCCCAGGTGGAGTGCAATGGCGCGATCTTGGCACACTGCAACCGCTGCCTCTCCTGCCTCAGCCTCCTGAGTAGCTGGGATTATAGGCATGCACCACCATGCTCAGCTAATTTTCTATTTTTAGTAGAGACGGGTTGGTCTCTACTATTTTAGTTGGTCAGGCTGGTCTCGAACTCCTGACCTCAGGTGATCCGCCCACCTCAGCCTCCCAAAGTGCTGGGATTACAGGTATGAGCCACCATGCCCAGATAAGTTTCTAATTTATCATGAAAACATACATCATATACTTGGGTCACACTTAAAAAACGTAATTGATGGGGAGGCAACATATGGGAGAGATGAATTTCCAGCAGCAGAGCTGGAAGGGATGTCGGTGACCCAGTCGGCAGCCAAGTGGTCTAGCACCCCATGCCACACAGTTGGTCAGAGACTGACTGAAATGAGAACTCAGGCTTCCTGACTCCCAACCACCCAGTGCTGAGTCCCGATGCTTCCCAGATCCCTACAGATCATCCCCCAGCACAGCCTGGGCTAACCAACTCTAATAAAAATTGCAGGAACAGTGATACCTGCACTCTACCACCAGTATCAGCCATTTCTCTGGAATAAGTGCTAGCCTTGCCTCATGCAGAATTAATTCTGTGTTTGATTTTAATGTTTAATGAACTCTAAACTAAAACCATCTTGGAAAAAGAAGTACAGGGAGAGGAAAAAGGAGCCTGGTTTGTAAAACTCAATTATGGTACACTTTGCTAAAACATTCCCAAATTGCTTGCCTGCTTAAAAATACTGCCAATTATATAAACAATTAACCAATAGAGCACTTGCATTTAAATACCTATTTCTGTGCTGAAGTTTTGGCAGGTTTTCTCATCTGAAACTTTTCTGCTGTTGCATCAGGCCCACGTTTTCATAGACTCTAGCACTGTCTTCTCTCATTCTGGAGAGAAAAGAAAAAGAAAGACATTTACAAAAATGTAGACCACGCTGTTTAAGCTTACATGATATCTATAAAACACATACTACATTCTTTGGGCACCAGATATGGTACAGACACAGTTCCTGTGCCTAGGACCTGACATTCCCAGGGAGAGAAGAGATAGCCATACAGCAATATAATTACAGAGGCAGAAGTGAAATAACGCTGGGCATGGTGGCTCACGCCTGTAATCCCAGAACTTTGGGAGGCCCAGGTGGGTGGATCACGAGGTCAGGAGTTTGAGACCAGCCTGGCCAATATGGTGAACCCCGTCTCTACTAAAAATACAAAAATTATCCGGGTGTCATGGCACATGCCTGTAGTCCCAGCTGCTTGAGAGGCTGAGGCAGAAGAATCTCTTGAACTCGGGAGATGGAGGTTGCAGTGAGCAGAGATCGTGCCACTGCACTCCAGCCTGGGCGACAGAGCGAGACTCCATCTCAAAAAAACAACAGAAGTGCAATAAAAGCCTCAAGTCCTGGTGCTCCCTGGGGTCTGGCAGAAAGCAGGTTGTTTTAAGGAGGCCTGTAGGATGAGGCATTTGGATCGCACTGTGAAGAAAGGTTGGAAATGCACACATAGAATGAAATCCTATTAATTTCCAGTAGAGGGATCTGAACAGGCAAAAGCTCCAAGAAGGGAAAATACAGGAGCAGGCAGGCAGTGATGAGAGATCTATTTAGCCCCAGCTCAGGTTATGTGAAGGGCAATGGGTGGTTTAGGGCCTAGGACAGAGGGCCAAAGCATCAAGATCCCAGACTTCTTTCTGCTGAGCAGGGAGATGACATCAGAGCAGTCCAGGAGAGTAAGGAACCCAGCAGCTGTGGGTGCCAGGCTGAGAGGGGCTCCAGGACCAGTGTATCCTGGATCTGAACCCTACAAGGGAGACGACGGGAATGAAAGGCAGACAGGCTGTCTGTCACAGGCATGCCACTGGTACTGAGGGAATCATGACAGCTGACTCAGTCATGCCAACAGGAGGGACGAGCTGTCTGGCAAGGACTCAGAACCCTGGCATTCCAGTTCCATTGCAAATTATTGCAGAGAGCAATTTAAAATATCAATTTTCCCAGGCAGTCCACTGGGAAAGAAAAGAAAAAAGATAGAAAGAAGTGGCAACTTGGACGAGAAAATACCTCTGCTGTATAATTTCATTTCAATGTTAAATAGAAAGCAAATGTTAATACAAACCTCATATATGCCACCTAAAACATTTATATAGAATATTAAAATCTGCAGGGGTTTAAAAATCCATGTCGAAAGCAAACAGAGAGAAGATTCTTAGGGAAAAATAAAAGGTAAATGTTATACTAGCAAGTGACTTTCGAATATATAGAAAAATAATAACTTACAATTGCTATTCATATCCTCAATTTGACAAATGCTTTCCTACCGTGTTTTCAACAAGGAGTCGGGAAGGATTTCTGGGAAGGGCTTGAGAGTCAGTATTTTAGGCTCTATATGCCATACATGGTCTCTGTCGCATATTATTCTTCGGGCTTTGTTTTGTTATTGGGTCTTTGTTTTGTGTTCTTTTGTTTTACAACCCTTTAAAACCATTAACAGGCCATACAGTAACAGGCCATGGCCCACATCTGGCCTTGTGAGCTGTAGTTTGCTGACTCCTGGTTTAAACACCCAAAGTAGATTTCTGTTGACTGGTGGCAAATGAGCAGAACATGGCTGGGCTGACACATTAGTGGTCAATTTATTTACTTTGATTTTGCAAAGAGCCTTAACACATCATTAAGACATATGACCTTCCTTTGTTACAATCCCCAGCCCATCAAAAGAAAAATTAGATTCTTCTTGGAGAACCACCACTTGATATACTTAAAATCCCATATAATCCTAGCTAGCATAGCAGTCAGCCTTCAGTTTAGGAATTTATTTTATTTTATTTTATTTTTAGACAGAGGCTCACTCTATCGCCCAGGCTGGAGTGCAGTGGCATGATCTCGGCTCACTGCAACATCCGTTTCCTGGGTTCAAGCGATTCTCCTGCCTCAGCCTCCTGAGTAGCTGGGATTACAGGCATGCGCCACCATGCCCGGCTAATTTTTGTATTTTTAGTAGAGACAGGGTTTCACCATGTTGGCCAGGCTGGTCTCGAACTCCTGACTTCAAAGTAATCCATGAACCTCGGCCTCCCAAAGCACTGGGATTACAGGCGTTAGCCACCGTGCCTGGCCAGCTTAGGAAAATTAAAACGTGGTTGAGATAGCATTAACACAATCAATAGATATCACCAGTCACAGATACACTAACAGTAGGGCAACAGGAACGTGCACCAGTGAAAGGCATGTGCTACAAACTTGTGTTTTGTTTTTGTTTTTGTTTTTTAAACCTTTTTAAACCACCATGACCAGGTAAAAAGAATTTCCTTCAGCACTACTTACTCTGCACAGGGTGGCGTTGGAGTACAAGGCGGGAGAGGGCTCTGATCTCCACTCGTCTGGTCCGCTAGAGAATACTTAATATTTGTATATTCGTGCCCTTTCCTCTTGCTTTTCTGAAATTTGGAAGAGTGCACATGTGAGGGACAATGGTTATTTTAAGGGGATAAAAAGCAAAAAAGGTATTTTGCCCAAAAAAAGAAAAAAGAGGGAGAAAGAAAAAAAAATTGATAGACGGGTTGAGAATACTGATACATTGACCAAATTGTTAGGGGATTCACCTTCTCAAGGTAAATACACAGTAGGAGTGAAAAGTACTTTTGAACCACAGAATTTGAAAGCACAGAGTCACGCATTAACAACTTACTGTACCGAACCAAATGTCCCTGTTTCTACAAGAGAATTCACACTTTCTTTGCCACATTAGCATCTAATCATTTCATAGTTCATGTGGAACACATTTCATGGTTTTTCAGGCAAACAGCTGGGAAAGGAACTCCGAAAACAAATTCACCCCAACTAGAAATGGCACACAAGAATGAAAGATGGTAGCACTCTTATCAGAAAAAATAACACACTTCATTGTATCTCCCCTCAGCCCTGGAAAAGACTCTGGCACCATTTTTGTTTGTTTGGAGACAGAGCCTTGCTCTGTTGTTCAGGCTAGTGTGCAGTGGCATGATCTCGGCTCACTGCAACCCCCGCCTCTGGGGTTCAAGCGATTTTCATGCCTCAGCCTCCTGAGTAGCTGGGATTACAGGTGCCCACCACCATGCCCAGCTAACTTTTTGTATTTTAGTAGAGATGGGGCTTAACCATGTTATTAGCCAGGCTGGTCTTGAACTCCTGAGCTCAGATGATCCACCTGCCTCAGCCTCCCAAAGTGCTAGGATTACAGGCATGAGCCAACACACACCTGACCCACCTTTAAAACTTTATTTTTGGTTCTGATGATACCCTGGGGGGGAAAAGGCAAAGAAAACCAGCAGTCATGCAGTCTCATCTCAGATGTGGAGTGAACTATATTTGGTAGGACATCTAGTTAGGAGGTTTGTCACCCTTTTCTACTCCTATAGGCACCTGGAAACAGCCAACTCTGAAAATCTAATCCATCAGATGAGCATCATTATCTAATGTTGACTTCACTATAGGATTGCCCTTAGGGTAGCCATATCAAATACTAATGTACAAGCCAGGCCTGGTGGCACAGGCCTGTAGTCCCAGCTACTCGGGAGGCTGAGGCAGGAGAATTGCTTGAGCCCAGGAATTCAAGGCTGCAGTAAGCTATGATCGCACCACTGCACTCTGGCCTGGGCAACAAGACCCATCTCTAAAAAGCGAGACCCATCTCTAAAAAATAAAAAATAGGGCTGGGCATGGTGGCTCATGCCTGTTATCCCAGCACTTTGGGAGGCCAAAGCAGATGGATCACTTGAGGTCAGGAGTTCAAGACTAGCCTGGTCAACATGGCAAAACCCTGTCTCTACTAAAAATACAAAAATTAGCTGAGTGTGGTGGTGCATGCCTATAATTCCAGCTACTCAGGAGGCTGAGGCATGAGAATCGCTTGAACCTGGGAGGTGGAGGTTGCAGTGAGCCAAGATCAGGCCACTGCACTGCAGCCTGGGTGATGGAGTGAGACTGTCTCAAAAAATAAAAATAAAAAATAATTTTTTGCCTGATACTATTTGCCTCTGTTAAAGTAGCCAAACCAATTTATTAAGTGATAAAGCAGTCAGTAAGAACTTATAGTGTAGGGAAGAAGCTGCAAAACAGACATCCAAAGCAAAAATATTTTGTTTGGTTTATATACTATTTTAATTTTTTGAACAGCCATTTTCTTAAAACAAAAAGACTTGTAAATAACCATTTCTGAATAGCAGTCGTAAATGTTTAGCACTGAAAAATCTTTGCTTATATAAGAAACAATCCTTAGAAAGATACAATATAATTCAAAATTAAATATTAAATGGAAGAATTGGCAAGAACATTTGGTTTTTTTGTTGTTGTTGTTTTTGAGATGGAGTCTTGCTCTGTCACCCAGGCTGGAGTGCAGTGGTGTGATCTCGGCTCACTGTAGCCTCTGCCTCCCAGGTTCAAGCAATTCTCTCCCTCAGCCTCCCAAGTAGCTGGGATTACAGGTGTGCACCACAACACCCAGCTTATTTTTGTATTTTTAGTAGAGACGGGGTTTCATCATGTTGGCCAGCCTGGTCTCAAATTCCTGGCCTCAAGTGATCCACCCGCCTCGGCCTCCCAAAGTGCTGGGGTTACAGGCCTGAGCCACTGTGCCTGGCCTTTTTTTTTTTTTTTTTTAAGAGACAGGGTCTCACACTGTCACCCAGACTAGAGCGCAGTGGTGCAATCATAGCTCACTGCAGCCTCAAACTCCTGGGCTCAAGCAATCCTCCCATCTCAGCCTCCCGATAGCTACAGGAACATGCCACACTCAGCCAAATTTTTTTTATTTTTTGTAGAGAGGGGGTCTCATTATGTTGCCCAGACTGGTCTCAAACTCTTGGCCTCGAGTGATGCTCCTGCCTCAGCCTCCCAAAGTGCTGGGTTTACAGGCATGAGCCACCATGCCCAGCCAGCAGAGAATATTATTTTAAAACTTATCCCGCCGGGCACTGTGGCTCATACCTGTAATCCCAGCACTTTGAGAGGCCAAGGCAGGTGGTCACTTGAGGTTAGGAGTTCAAGACAAACCTGGCCAACATGGTGACACCCCATCTCTACTAAAAATACAAAAATTAGCCAGGCGTGGTGGTGCAGACCTGTAATCCCAGCTACTCAGGAGGCTGAAGCAGCAGAAACACTTGAACCTGGGAGATAGAGGTCGCAGTGAGCCAAGACACCACTGCACTCCAGCCTGGGTGACTTGAGATGGAGTGAGACTCCATCTCAAAAAATAATAAAAAATAAATTTTTTAAAAAATAAAACTTATCCTGAGGTTTAAAAATCTCAACTCACTTTTTAAATAAAAATTTTAAATATAAATAGAAACTGAGGAGTAAAACTGCTTTTTTACTCGATACTTTTTTTAAAAGCAATTTTTAAAAACACATGACATGAGATCTACCCTCTTAACAAACTGTTAGATGTGCAGTATTGTTAACTATATACCCACTGCTGTATAGAAGATCTCTGAAGTTTTTTGTCTTGTATTACTGAAACTCTATACCCATTGAACAGCAAATCCCTATTTCCCCCTCCCTACTCAATACTTCCTTGAAAATAAAAATCAGTATTTCTATTAATACATAAAGTGATTACAACAGAATTTTCTAGTGTGGAATAATTAGTACAAATGAAACAGGAATTACTTCAATGACTCAAAGGAATCCAAGGAAAAGCATTAAAATGTTGAAACTTTTTAGCTTATGTAGAAGACCAAGAAATAAAACTGACTCACAAATCAGATGGGCTTGTCTTAGTACTGTGACAGCCCAGGCTGTGTTATAGATCAAGAGAAATGCTCAGGGAATAGGGATTGTTTTGTTTTGATTTGTGTTTGTGGAGTAGAGGGTAATGTGTTTCTGAAGCCTAGAAAATCAACTGAAATTGATCTATCTCCACCCAAATTCAACGTCACAGCACAGTAACCAAGCCTTCTGCAATGTTTATAACAAATTTTATGGCCTTGCCAACTGACACACACCCAAGATTGAGAGAAGGTATTGATCACAAGACTCCAAAATCATCTGGTATTAAGTATCTTTCCATGTTAAGTAACTGATTACATTCATAAACCTTAAATTACAAAAAATCCAAAGGCCAAGAGCAGGAAGAGAGGGTAAAATGAAAACACTTGCCTTGGTTACAGAGCAGCCTAGACTACTTGTCCAGTGCACTCTGGGTTCACATTTGAAGACTACAAACACCATGATTCCTTCCACTATCCAATCATGAAATTTTGCTGGTTTTACTTCGCTCTGTGCTCACTGTCAGTCCTGCCCACCCTGACCAAACCATGACGGGTTCTCACGTGCAGCACTGCGGCAGCTCCTCACTGACCCTGCAGCTGCTCTAGCCTAGTGCCCACCCATTCTTCACCCTCAAGCCAGGGTTCCCTTTCAAAATGAGGGGTTTTTTGTTTTTTTTTTGACACGAAGTCTCACTCTGTCACCCAGGCTGGAATGCAGTGGCACAATCTCGGCTCACTGCAATCTCTGCCTCCCGGGTTCAAGCGATTCTCATGCCTCAGCCTCCCAAGTAGCTGGGACTACAGGTGTGAGCCACCATGCCCAGCTAATTTTTGTATTTTTGATAGAGACAGGGTTTCACCATGTTGCCCAGGCTAGTCTCAAACTCTTGGCCTCAAGCAATCCACCCACTTCAACCTCCCAAAGTGCTGGGATTACAGGCGTGAGCCACCACATCCGGCCTAAAATGAGGATCTTTTTATGTCATTCCCCTGCTTCAGACTCCTCAATGACTTCCATGTCCCTCCAAATAAAGTCTACAATCTGTAATATGGCCTACAAGGCCCACCTCTCCCTCCAAACTGAAAAATCTGGTCTCAGCTTACTTTTCCAATCTCCCCATCACACTCCACATTGCCCCCCAGCTCCTTCTACTCCAACCATGCTGGATTCATTTCCAATTCAGGAACACAACTACTTAAATATTCCCAGTGCCTGGCACAGTACAACCTACTTTAATTAATGCAGGAATGAATGAACAAGTATGAAAAAACCTTTTCATTGGACCAAGGAGATGAAGGGAGCTGTGTGAAGAAACAATAGGGCACATAGGGGCACGGCCTCATGTTAACTCAAATTTTACATCTAGTAAAACTTCAGTTCCATGAGGCAACAGCGATGGCTATCTTCTTCATTGTTACAACCTCAGCATCTAATCAATGTCTGCAACAGAAAAGGCACTCAAATATTTCTCAAAGGAATGACACCAAACAAAAAAGAATAAGCGTCTAATAAAATATGAGGAGCCAAATAGCAAGTGCTACACAAGGCCAGTTTAAATCTTGCTCGTTTACTGTTGCAACAACTCAGATTCAGCCTGTGCAATCCCATTTCTATTCCAGCTCTGCTATCATTATGGAATTTTTTTTTTTTTTTTTTTTTGAGACAGAGTCTCGCTCTGTCGCCCAGACTGGAGTGCAGTGGCTCAATCTCAGCTCACTGCAAGCTCTGCCTCCCAGGTTCAAGTGATTCTCGTGCCTCAGCCTCCTGAGTAGCTGGGATTACAGGCACACACCACTACGCCTGGCTAATTTTTGTATTTTTTGTAGAGATGGGGTTTTACCATTTTGGCCAGGCTGGTCTCGAACTCCTGACCTCAGGTGATCTGCCCACCTCAGCCTCCCAAAGTGCTAGGATTATAGGCCTGACCCATTACAGAATTTTTAAAAGTAATTTCTGTCCTGCAATATGATTCACTCAGAGAGAACACTGTTCAGATCTCTGTATACTGAAGTGTAGAGACGCTACCTGTGTTGTATGTATTTCCTTCAAACAAGAAGTGCAAATACAATTCTCACATGGGTATAGGTTAGTAATTCTGAAACTACTTTACACCTATACCAGGGTTGAACAAATGAGTAGATAGGTTGGTGATAATGAGACTGGGGTTTCTCCCTGTTAGAGAAAGAAGTCACAAATAAGCAAGAGGAAGGCAAGAATGAGCCCTGCGGCAATGGATTCGAGTCTGAGACATCAGTATGAATTCATGTTTAGCTTAATATATATATAGATGGCCAGATACAGAAAACAATTATAGATATATATGAATCCATGGATTCATATACAGCCATATGTTTTCTAGCTCTATCTGCTGAGAGGGCCTAGAAGCAGTGATTCCAGTAGCAATGAGCACACCCAACACCCAGATTGGTTTCTAAACCCCCATCTAAAGTAAAAGGAACCAGGGCACCATAGAAAAATGGATGATTCTAGGGCTGCGGCAGGGAAAAATATAAGAGGAGCCTGGAACATCTTTTGTAATGCCAAAGTAGAGAAGTACTCAGAAACGAGAGGGTGGGGACATGTCAAATGACACAGGAGCCAATCTGAAGAACCTCCCAGTGACCAAAGCTGTAACAATTTGAGCAAGAAAAATAGATTATAACCCAAAGTATAAAATAAATGTACATGCGTCTCTATCAATATAAATAATGGAATAAATAAATGGAGAGAAGGAACAAATCTTTCTTACAAAAGGATTCTAAATAATGTATATAGAAACTAGTCATTCCAGTTTCAATTAAGCTCCAAGAGATGGAGCTTTATTTCCCTTTTCTTGAGTATGGTCTGAACTAAATGACTTTCTTCCAAGGAATTGAACAGGGAAAGAGGAAAAAAGTACAGGCAGTCCCCAACTTCATGATGGTTTGCCTTATGGTTTTTTTGATTTTATGATGGTGCAAAAGCAATACAACCCTTCTGTTTTTCATTCTGAGTACAGTACTCAACACATTACATAAGATATGCAACACATTATAAAACAGGCTTCCCATGAGATGATTTTGCCCAACTGTAGGCTAATGTAAGTGTCCTGAATACGTTCAAGGCAGGCTAGGCTAAGCTGTGATGTTTAGTAGTTTAGATGCATTAAATGCATTTTTGACTTATGATATTTTCAATTTATGATGGGCTTATCAGGCTGTAACCCCATCATAAGTTAAGGAGGATTTGTAATTATGCAGTGAGAAAAATCTGGCAGATACTAACTAAACAAACTGACAAGTTTAACATCACCAGGCCATGTTGATAACATTTACCTCCAAGTGATGAGAACACTTAACAATATACCTCTGTGGTATTCTTCCCAAAAATCCATTACTCAAGTCTAATCATGAGAAAACATAAGATTAAACACAAGTTGTGGGATATCCTACAAGATATCTGACCAGTACTCTTAAAAATCGTCAAGAGTACATGAAAAACAAGGAAAGCCTAAGAAGCTGTCGCAGATTGGAGAAGACTACAGTGACAAGTGACCAAACTCAGTGTGTGACCATGAATTGGATCAAGGAACAGAAAAAGGATATTCATTGGAAAACTGGCAAAATCCAATTAAACTCTAGTTTAGTTAATAGCAATGTATTGATGTTAATGTTTTAGTTTTGATAAATGTATCATGGTTAGGTAAAATGTTAACTTCAGGGGAAAGTGGATGAAAGGTATAAGGAACTCACTCTGTTATACAGAGATATGTATAATGCTCCTCGACTTTATGGGGATACATCCCAATAAACTCATCATAAGTTGAAAATATCACTAGTCGAAAATGCATTTAACATATCTAACCTACCAAACACCACAGCTTAGCCTAGCCTACTTTAAACGTGCTCAGAACACTTACATTAGCCTACACGTGGGCAATATCATCTCACAATCCCTATTTTAAAATAAAGTGTTGAATGAAAAGTGAAAAACAGAATGGATGTATTGCTCTCAAACCATCATAAAATCAAAAATCATAAGTCGAACCATCATAAGTCAGGGACCGTCTGTACACATATGTGAGGTTTTAGAAAGAGGGAACTCAAATAGAGCAGTAATTGATCAGCTAATTAGCAATTCAAAGAACACTGTACCAGTACAAACAAGTAGACCCAGTGCCCAGATCTTGGTTTCAAAATACTGCTCTTCACTAAAAGGAATCAGGTTCCTTTGAAAAATGGCTGGGAAAGGAGAAGATGAGCCTAGACCATCTTAAGTCTAAAGAAGTGCTTGAAAATGGAAAGAGATCAAAAGGACAGAGTACCCGATCTGAAAAGGTTTCCACTAGCCAAATTCAAGTCAATTCAAGCAATAACAACAAAAATAGTAGTAAGGTGCCCATTCTGATAGACATGAATAAATAAATAAGGAAGAAAGAAAAGCCCTTCCTTATAGTAGGCTTGCAACTAAAAACAGAAAAGGGAATGATGAACCTTAAAAGTTCTAGAAGAAAGCATATGGGGAAAGTAACATGACAATGGTCATGGCAATGGTTTTTAGGATTTGATACCAAAAGCACAGGGAACAAAATAAAAATAAACAAGTGGAACAACATCAACATCCAGGCTAAAGTGCAGTGGCACCATCTTGGCTCACTGCAACCTCCGCCTCCCGGGTTCAAGCGATCCTCCTGCCTCAGTGTCCCAAGTAGCTGGGATCACAGGTGTGCGCCACCACATCCAGCTAATTTTTTATATTTTTGGTAGAGATGGGGTTTCACCATGTTGGCCAGGCTGGTCTCGAACTCCTGACCTCAAGTGATCCACCCTCCTCAGCCTTCCAAAGTGCTGGGATTACAGGCATGAGCCACCGTGTCCAGCATGGATATTAGTTTTAAAAAGAAGAAAATCCTGTCATTTGCAAGAACATGGATGACATTATGCTAAGTGAAATAAACCATCACTGCCTGATCTCATTTGTATGTGGAATCTAAACCAGTCAAACTCATAAAAACTGAGATTAAAGCAGTGATTACCAGGGGTTGGGGGTAGGGAAAACAAGGAGACTTTGGTCAAAGGGTACAAACTTGAAGTTACATAAGATGAATACATTTTGGAGATCTAATGTACAGCATGGTGATTATAGTTAATACTAACGTAATGTGGCTGGGTGTGGTGGCTCATGCCTGTAATCTCAGTACTTTGGGAGGCCGAGGTGGGTAGATCACCTGAGGTCAGGAGTTTGAGGCCAGCCTGGCTAACATGGTGAACCCCCATCTCTACTAAAAATACAATAATTAGCCAGGCATGGTGGCGGGTACCTGTAGTCTCAGCTACTTGGGAGGCTGAGGTGGGAGAAGCACCTGAATGAACCCAGGAGGCAGAGGTTCCAGTGTGGCAAGATCATGCCACTGCACTCCAGCCAGGGTGACAAAGTGAGACTCCATCTCAAAAAAAAAAAAAAAAAAATGTACACTTAAAATTTACTAAGAGTGGCCGGGCACAGTGGCTCACGCCTGTAATCCCACCACTTTGGAAAGCTGAGACGGGAGGATCATTTGAGGTCAGGAGTTCGAGACCAGCCTGGCCAACGTAGTGAAACCCCACCTCTACTAAAAATACAAAAATTAGCCGGGTGTGATGGTGGGCACCTGTAATCCCAGCTACTGGGGAGGCCAAGGCAGGAGAATCACTTGAACCTGGGAGGTGGAGGTTGTAATGAGCCGAGATTGTGGCACTGCACTCCAGCCTTAGTGACAAACCAAGACTCTGTCTCAAAAAAAAAAAAAAGTAACTGAGATGTTGGATGCATTATTTAACTCAATTTTGATAATCATTTCACAAAGTATACATATATCAAAATATCATGGTGTACACTTTATATACAGTTTTTCTTTGTCACTTATACTTTTAAAAGCGGGGGAAAGGCAATGATGGAAACAGAAAATTGCCATTTGGCAAATACCACAGTAATAATTTTTTCAGGCAAGAATTTAATCAATGAATATAAAATTAGTAGGCAAAAAGTATTATGAGAGCCGGGCGCAGTGACTCACATCTGTAATCCCAGCACTTTGGGAGGCCAAGGCGGGCAGATCACAAGGTCAGGAGATCAAGACCATCCTGGCTAACACGGTGAGACCCCGTCTCTACTAAAAATACAAAAAATTAGCCAGGTGTGATGGCGGGCGCCTGTAGTCCCAACTACTTGGGAGGCTGAGGCAGGAGAATGGCGTCAACCCGGGAGGTGGAGCTTGCAGTGACCCGAGATTGCACCACTGCACTCCAGCCTGGGAGACGGTGCGAGACTCCATCTCAAAAAAAAAAAAAGTATTATGAGAAATAGGTAATTTACGCAGTCTCCAGTATCTACCCACAAGATATTAACTTAAAAGGGAAAAATAATAACTTTATGGACAAGAGATTAACTTAAAAGGGAAAAATACTTTGTTCCTAAAAAAAAAATGTAGCAAAAATACTACTTTTTGCTACATTTTTTGCTACGCCTGTAGTCCCAGCTACGTTTTGCTCAAGTAACTTTACGGTGGACAAATTTGACAGACACCACCTTATTCAAGTGATCAAAGTTAACACCACTAGTAATGAATCAGATCAACAGTGTGTACCTGATGTGATGTACTAAGAAGACTACAACAACATTTCTGTGACAGTCCTGCCAAAAATGCATGACTAGAATATAGTCAAGAGAAAACACTGGACAAATCCAAACTGAAAGGCATTCTGCTAAATAGCTGGCCTAAACTCTTCAAAAACATCCAGGTCATGAAAAATAAAGAATGACTGAGAAACTGTTCCAGATTAAAGAGACTAAACATACTAATAACTGGCCAGGTGTGGTGACTCACGCCTGTAATCCCAGCACTTTGGGAGGCCAAGGCGGGAGGGTCACTTGAGCCCAGGAGTTCAAGGCCAGCCGGGGCAACACGGCGAAGCTCCATCTCTACAAAAAATACAAAACTTAGCCAGGCATGGTGGTGCACACCTGTGGTCTCCAGCTACTCGAGAGGCTGAGGTGGGAGGATCACCTGAGCCCAAGGAGGTCAAGGCTGCCGTGAGCCATAATTGCACCACTGCACTCCAACCTGGGCAACAAAGTGAGACCCTGTCTCAAAAAAAGAGAAAAAAGATACATTATAGCCAAATGCACTGTGTGACCCTGGACCCATAAAAGATACTAGCAGGACAAAATTTGAAGATGGTCTGTAGGTTAGATAATAGTGTTATATCAATGTTAGTTTCCTGATTTTGATCACTGTATCAAATAATTGTGACATTGGTTATGTAAGAGAATGCCCTTATTTTTAGAAAATATACACATTTTAGAATGTGTAGGCTTAGATTATTCATTTTTTAAAATGAAATGATATTTAGAGACAAAGGGGTATAAATGTTTGTAACCAACAAACATTTTACTTTTTAAAATTTACATTTTTAATTTTAAACAGAGAGAATAAACGAATGATAAAGTTAAGTGTGCTAAAAAGTTAACAGTCAGGAAAGCTGGGTAAAGAAAATTCCACAGACTGCTTTTGCAAATTTGAGGGTTTTTTTTTTTTTTTCACTACTGTAGTTGGAAGTTAACAAAAAAGTCTACCTCCAAGGAACTGGCAGAGTGTGAGAACTGTTTATAAAAACTTGAGAATTTTCTCAATCTTGCTTCGTTTGCACTTTCCCCTGGATTCCCACATCTGATTTTATATTCTTCCTTCCTTGTGCTGTTTCTTCTCTTCCTTCTCCACAGCTCTTCACCCATCATTCCTTTTTTTCACTGATCCTTCTTTAGCAAATTCTTTCACTCCCAAAGGTCCTGAACACTTCATAATTTTAGAAATGACTGTATTTTAGAATAACCAATTATCCTGAATGAGTTTTGTTCTTTTGCTTCATTTATAAATCAGCTGGGTTTAATGTTATGTCTGCCATTTAAACTTTCTACTAAATTAAGTACTTCTTACTTTACCACAATCAGCCAGCAAGCCAGTTCCCAGATTGATTCAAACCACACAACGCAGAAAACTATATATTGCAGGATTTCATTTTTTAAAATAAATAATTGAAGCCTACACATTTTTAAAACCCAGAGGTCACTGGGCTCAGTGGCTCACACTTGTAATCCCAGCACTTTGGAAACCCAAAGTGGGAGGGTTGTTTGAGCCCAGGAGTTCAAGACTAGCCTGGGCAACACAGTGAGACCTTGTCTCTACAAAATAAAGATAAAAAAATTAGCCGGGCATGGAGCCACAAATTTGTAGTCCTAACTACTCAGAGAGGCTGAGGCAGAAGCACTGCTTGAGCCTAGGAATTCGAGACTAGCCTGGGCAACATGGCGAAACTGTGACACTACAAAAAATGCGAAAATTAGCTAGGTGTGGTGGCGCATGCCTATAGTCCCAGCTACTTGGGAGGCTGAGGTGGGAGGATCGCTTAAGCCTGGGAGATTGAGGCTGCAGTGAGCCATGATTACACCACTGCACTCCAGCCTGGGCAACAGAGAGAGACCTCTCTCTCAAAAAAAAAAAAAAAAAAAGACATCCCTGAACATGCTCCAACTTGTAGCAACTATGTTACATTCTCTTTGTATTTACTAGGAGATCCTTCTCTTTGGGCAACTTTTTGCCTAACTATTCTTGAGCCAAATTAAGTATAATGGAAGACAGATATAAAATAAAGTAACCGTCTAAATATTTCATATCAGTTAATACAAATTCAGATTTAAAGCACTGAGGTTCAAATTTTGACCTTACATTTCTATACATACACTGTTTCTGAAGATGTCTATGTACAATAAAACAATCCCGTATGTCTGTGCGGACTGAAAACCTACTAAACTAATTAGCAAGTACCTTCCTTTGGCCAACCAAACTTTGATAACGTGGCTGCTGTTCTGCTAGGCTAGAAATCTTTCAAATACTGGTGGCAGGTCCCATTCTGAAAAGAGCTCAGCATTTGGAGAAGCTGAGTTCTCTGGAAGGCAACGAGCAGAGTAATGCAGGCACTCGCCACTGATGTTTAGACACCACCCCATCTGCAGCATGGCAATGGGGTTGAGGGGTTGGGGAGAGAAGCACAGCCCCCAAAAGAGCAGCTCTCCTCATTTCCTTCATCTCAGCATATTCCTAATTAACTCAGCTTTGTGCCTGTTATGAATAGCTTCAGATGGAAAGGCTCCAATTCCACATTCCTCTTCATTATGCACAGCTTATTAAAATTGAAATTTCACTGTTTCCAACTCGACCAAATTAGTGGTTCAAACTGCCGTGCGCTATTAAGAGTGAGGCATTCGTTTTAAAGGATGGAATCAGGATAAACATGGCCTGGATCAAGGCTGGAACAGGCTAGAAACTTCAAGGCTTTGAGTTTTACGCTTGCCACATGAGCCTGAGAACATCAGAACCTTTCTGCATGGCAGTTCTTCAATCTGGCAGGCCAGGCTGATAGGATGGTGCCCTTCCCTAAGCTCCTCTGCAGTGAAAAATCAGAGCTGAGAAGTGGAGAATAATTGACAGTTTCCAGAGGCCCTTTTAGTTGGGAGTTTGTTTCCCATTCCGAAATCAAACAGTTGTCTATCAGAGCCTGTCCTCCTGCTCAAAAGGAGAGCGTATCCAAGAGGCCTAGCAAGAGAATGAGAATCCGCATGCCAGCCCTCAGGCTGGTACCTGCTCTTCTTCAATCCTGCGCTGTAGTGTTTCAATATAATGCTGGACCGCCATATAGATAAATCGGTACTGTGCTTCTGTCTGGACCATCCCTGACCTCTGAGACCGCACCATCTGGATGGTTTTGGGAACGTCAATATCGCAGTCAACACCTACGAAGGAAACATCATGAAGAATAAAGAGAAACTGCAGAGCCAGGATGAAGTTGTTTAATGCACAACTTTTAGTGGACTCAGAGACAATGCTAATTTAGTCTTTGCTGTTTTAACTGAGCATGTTGCAATGGCTACAGTGTTGAACTTCTGACCAATACCAATGATCCCAGAAGACTACATAAATAACGAAGTGGCAGAAGTCAGGATTCCCTCACTTGCCAACAAATCACCCCATACTGTAAACAAGGTCAGGTGGCTGGATAGAGACCACCACTGTGTATGCAACAAAAGGCCATGGCAGTGGGTTCTGCAGCTCCTAGACTTCATTTTATGCCAAAAGCTCAAATAGTGTCACTTCTGTTCTCAGGCAGACACACTGAAGTCTTCAGCCCAGATTTTTGTGAAAGAATTTTCCCATTCAACCTCTCTTCCCCAGACTGTTTTCGTGAGCACTTTCCTTCCATAAACTAAAAACAGAAACTGTCGCTTCTTGCCCACCAGATGACCCACCTTTCTCTCTGATGATGTCAATAAGAATATCAATCACAATGAACGTCCCTGTCCGGCCAATTCCAGCACTGCGGGCAGAAGGACAAAAAGCAGGGACAACAGAATCATTCATGGGGGTTTCAGACTCAAAACCAAGCCATTAATATCAACAGAAACAATGTCTACTCTTTGGAGCTATTTATAAAATTGTCTATTTATGTTTGAAAATATGTTGGCAAAAAGCATAGGGCTTTGGAGTCAGCCCAAACCTGCTCTTGGAGTTCAGCTTCTCCAGTACAACGTGCCTGAGGTAAGTCCCTTAACCTCTCTGACCCTTAATTTCTGCATCTGTGAAATGGGGACAACAGCACATACCATACAGAGTGCTGGTTGGACAGAATGAAACAGGAATCATATACAAAAAAATACATCAAAATTACTGAAAGAGGGCCGGGCGCAGTGGCTCTCACCTATAATACCAGCACTTTGGGAGGCCGAGGCAGGAGGATCACTTGGGGCCAGGAGTTCCAGACCAGCCTGGCCAACATAGCAAAACCTCGTCTCTACTAAAAACACAAAAATTAGCCAGGCATGTTGTCACGTACCAGTAATCCCAGCTACTCGGGAGGCTGAGACATGAGAATTGCTTGAACCCAGAAAGCAGAGGTTGCAGTGAGCTAAGATCGCTCAATTGCACTCTAGCCTGGGTGACAGAGTGAGACTCTGTCTCAAAAAATAATAATAATAAAGTTATTGAAATAGAAGAAGTAAATAATTTTAAAAATTAAAAACAAAACAAAACAAAAAACATTGTGCTCAGAGGCTGGCTCAATAAATGGTAGCTTCTTTAACAACTGGACAAATAAACACTTTCACATATATCTACTTGCCCAAGAAATGAATGAGATTTAGGAAACCCAATATTCCCCAGTATAATCATGAAGCCCAAACTGGAGAATCAGCAGCCCACAGACTCATTACAGAGGTCACAGCACAGCTTCCATCAAAGGCCTTGGTGGAAAAGCAGCTGGAATCTTGTGAAGCAAACAAATATAGTGTTAGGGGAGAAATATATTTATGGTAGAAGAGAACAGAATGGGCCGGGCATGGTAGCTCATACCTGTAATCCCAGCACTTTGGAAGGACAAGGCAGGTGGATCACCTGAGGTCAAGGGTTCGAGACCAGCCTGGCCAACATGACAAAACCTTGTCTCTATTAAAATACAAAAATTAGCCGGGCGTAGTGTCAGATGCCTGTAATCCCAGCTACTTGGGAGGCTGAGGCAGGAGAATGGCCTGAACCCGGGAGGCGGAGGTTGCAGTGAGCCAAGATGGCACCACTGCACTCTAGCCTGGGCAACAAAACAAGACTCTGTCTCAAAAACGAAAAAAAAAAAAGAGAGAGAGAGAGAGAGAACAGAATCACAATCAAAGAGATGAATCATAGAAGAGTAGAAGAAAAGAAGGAAAAAGAGAACCAAGCAAAAATGACTTAAGGGATCCTCAAGAGTCAGGCCTATTTCCACCACACCCCCACCACCTCAATACCTACAAAGCAGTCAACAGCTACAAAGCAAACATCATGAAGAATAAGGAGAAACTGCAGAGCCAGGATGAAGTTGTTTAATGCACAACTTCTGGTGGACTCAGAGATAATGCTGACTTAGTCTTTGCTGTTTTAACTGAGCATGTTGCCATGGCCATGGCCAATGGCAGTGCTGTAGGGTCTAGGAGAAATATGCCTTGGGATCAAAATGTCCCTCAATGCAGTTGCTCTATGCCTCAAACAGATATTAAATTCTTCCTACAGTTAAAGAGCTAGGAGTGGGTAGGTAAAAGCAAGCCCTGGGCGCTAGGAGACAGGGACAGGCTGTGGCCTAGAGGGGCAGCAGGAGCTGTCACCTGCAGTGCACCACGACCGGCCCTGCATCCATGATGCTCTCCTGCTTATGGTGCACCTCCTCCAGGAAGTCCAGCACGCCCCCAGGGTCGCTGGGCACGCCGTGGTCCGGCCAGGTCCGAAAGTGGTATTGCCAGACCGTTCTCTCCGTATTCCCCTGGAGTAGAGCCAAGAAAAACCAGAAAAGAATTAAATAAATCAAGAGGTTGAGGAATCACCCGGTTCTAAGCTTTCCTAAATCCAATGGAGAGGAAGAGAATCTCCCCAGGTTCCACTGAAAGGTCCTCTTCGTGAGGTTCCCAGAACTCGTCTCCTTTTGGGCAATCCTGGAGGCAACTCTTTGCCTCTGTCATAAGAACCAAGACGTCTGGCATGGCAATTTGTTCTTTCAGGTAACTATACCCTGAATCATCTCTCTGAATTACCAGCGACAGGTAACATCCCTATTCCCCTGCATCCCTGTGGCACTCAGCTCTGGAGGCAACTGAAACCTCTAGGGATCCAGGTCTCTCCTCCCAGCAGAAGAGGAAGCAGATGGGGAAACAGGCATTCACTTAAGACATTCATTCCTCTTTGTTATTTTTTTGATACTCAACCTTCCCCACCATATAAACACAGACTATAGTATCATTCTTTTTTTTTTTTTTTTCCAAGACAGAGTCTTACTCTGTTGCCCAGGCTGGAGTGCAGTGGCGTGATCTTGGCTCACTGCAACCTCTGCCTCCCGGGTTCAAGCCATTCTCCTGCCTCAGCCTCCCAAGTAGCTGGGATTACAGGCACACATCACCATGCCTGGCTAATTTTTGTATTTTTAGTAGCGATGGGGTTTCTTTCGCCATATTGGCCAGGCTGGTTGCAAACTCCTGACCTCAGGTGATCTGCCTGCCTCGACCTCCCAAAGTGCTGGGATTACAGGCGTGAGCCACCCAGCCTGGCCAGTATTGTTCTATTTTAAACTTATATTTAATGCAAAGCAGATAAGAAAACAGGCTTTGCTATCAGATGACTAGATTTAGGCTCCAATTCCAGGCACTCACACTCACGTGGCCCTTGGGTATCTCTAAACCTCAATTTCTTCATTTTGCAAAATGCAAATAATAATCTCTTTCTCTCTATCATAATGCAATTTTAAGGACTCAGTGAGCTCGCTGAAATACTCAGCCTCTGCCCAGCAAATAGGAAGAGACTCAGCACATTATGGCTATTTTGAGGATAATGATAATTAATAAAGATCAACAATGGCACCAAGGCTACAGAAAACCAAAAAGTATCATGTTTCTGGGTCTATCCAGATGACGTAATTGTAGCAGCACCATTCATTCCTACATCTTCTTCCTATATATGTAGAGACAATCTAAGCTAAGTGACTTTTTTTTTTGAGACAGAGTCTCACTCTGTCATCCAGGCTGGTGCACAGTGACCTGATCACAGCTCACTGCAACCTACGCCTCCCCGATTCAAGCAATTCTTGGGCCTCAGACTCGACTCCCGAGTAGCTGGGACTACAGGCATGTACCACATCCAGCTAATTTTAGTAGAGAAGGAGTTTCGCCATGTTGGCCAGGCTGGTCTTGTACTCCTGACCTCAAGTAATCCACCCACTTCAGCCTCCCAAAGTGCAGGGATTACAGGCATGAGCCACTTTGCCCAGCCTTAAGTGACATTTTTAAAAGGGATGTAAAAGGACACTTTTCTCTTTTTTCTTCTTCTTTTTTTTTTAATTTTTTTATTTTATTTTATTTTTATTTTTAACTGGGCACTCTGTTGCCAAGGCTGGAGTGCAGTGGCACAATCACAGCTCAATGCAGCCCAGAACTCCTGAGCTAACACGATCCTCTTGCCTCAGCCTCCCAATATGCTGGGATTACAGGCGTGAGCCACCACGCCCAGCCCTTTCTCCCATTTCCACTTGACAGCTACATTGTTCCAGTTCCTCTCACTATCTCTACCATAGATTCAGCCTCCACCCCTCCCCATCATCAGAAGGACTGGACCCTCTCTGACATCAGAAATCCAAACATCCCACCCTGGGCCACAACCACACTGGTTTCCAGCTCCTTCTGGTCCCCCCGTCACTTCCTGTAGCCTCCAGACCACTGAGCCCTCCCTCTACTTTCCACCTGCCTCCTCCTGCCCCTGTCCCCCTCATCCGGCCAGGAGTCCCCGTGCTCTGGGGACAGTCTCTCTCTACCATGTGCCTCCATTCCTTGACCTCCTCTCCATCCACTGCAACTATGCAAAGCCCTCGGCCTGGACAAACCACGTACTTTCTGTTTTGTGCCCTAGGAGCCAAGTGTCCTTGGAGAAAAACCAGGCAATGGGTATCAGTATATTTTCATGTTCACCGCCTCAACTGGGAACTTGGCACAGCACAGAAATTTCTGGACTTCTTGCCCTGCTACACAATTACGATTTCATCTTTTCTCCCTTTCTTCATATATTCTATCTCTTCTTATTCCCTCTGATTGTCTGTTGATGGCCTTGCCTCAAGCTTCCGAGAGGATAGGGAATACAATCACTCTCAGCTCATCTACCGGCATCTGTGGCCACCTTCTCCTTTTGCCCTCCTGTTGCCACAGAAAAACATGTCCCTCTATCGAGCAAAACTGATCCATCCACGACGCTCTGCATCCCACCTCCCCTCCGCATCCCACCTCCACCCTTGCCTCCCTGACCGCTCCACTTCAATGTGTCCAAGGCATCTCAAACTTTGTGTGTTCACAAAAAGGTCCTTGATCCTCCCAGCTTCCTCAACTCCACTGCCATCCCCCCGGACCTTTCTCAAGCTAGAAAATTGCCAGTCACCCTGCACACCACCCTCGCCCTTGGTACACTCCTTCACTGAATCCCTGCATGTCTGCCTCCAGTCAGCTCTACTGGGTCCTCTTCTTTCAGGCACCCTGGGCACTGGCCTAGTTCAATCCCTATTATTTTTTACTCTGACGGCTGCACTACCTCCAAATTGGTCCTAATCCCTAGAACAACTCCTGCCCCCTCCAGTCTCTACAGGGTGGAGGGGAATCTCTTAAAAACTTAAATCCAACTCTGGCTGCTTACCACACTTAGGACAAACCCCCACAACCTCCTTTGCTGACTCAAACACATTGTTCCCTATGCCTTAAGAACCTCCCCTCCCTTGGCCGGGTGCGCTGGCTCACGCCTGTAATTCCAGCACCTTGGGAGGCTGCATGTGGCAGCAGGATCGCTTAAGCCCAGGAGTTCAAGACCAGCCTGGGCAACATAATGAGACAACCGTCTCTATAAAAAATTTAACAATTGGGTGGGCATGGTGGCACACACCTGTAGCCCCCAGCTACATGGGAGGCTGAGGTGAGAGGATCACTTGAGCTTAGGAGGTTGTGGCTGCAGTGAGCCGTGAATGCACCAGTGCACTCCAGTCTGGGTGACAGAACAAGATTCTGTTTCAAAAAAAAAAAAAAAAAAGTCCCTTCCCCCTCCAAATGAACCCTAAACTCCTGCATTTTTTCTTTCTAGCCCTGATTACAGTTTATAATGATATATTTATATGTGCAATTACTGGGCTGGTAGATTACTGGCCAGTATAGTGTACACTTGGGAGTGCAGGGATTCCATCTGTTTTGTTCCCCAGCTCTATCTCCAGCAAGCAGCATGGTGCCAGGAACCAAGAGGTCATTGAACAAATATCTCTGAATGAATAGATGAATGTCCACATGACTGTTCAGATGCCCAGCTGAACACATCCAGAAGAAAACAAATCACTGCCCACATCAGTTCTCCTTCCAGCTTTTGTGGTGTCTGCCACAGCACCACTGTCCGCTCAGACTCAAACCTCTACAATGTGTCTTGAATCCCTCCTTCCTCCTCCAAAAGCCAAACAATCCCCACATCCTGCAGACTTCACCCCCCGGCACCTCTCACATCTACTGCTTCTCTTCCAGTTTATTCTGCCATTTTATATAATATTCCATTCCAAAGGAAGGAACAAAAAAGAACAACTGCTGAAGTCTGTGGATACTTGGAGAGGAGGCCATCAACATAGGCCCCTGCGGAGGCCTCCTAACAGACCTTGTAGCCACTCAGGTCACCCTATCCCAGTCTCCCACCCAGGGCTGGTCTCGAACTCCCCGGCTCAAGCGATCCACCCACCTCAGCCTCCCAAAGTGCTGGGATTACAGGCCTGAGCCACGGCGCCTGGCCAGTTATTTGTTTTTAAATTGTCTATCTCCCTAGGCTCGATGAGGGCAGGAACACTACCTGCCTTGTTCACAATGTACCAGTACTGCTTAAACTGTACCTGGCACATAGAAGGAAGCTAATAAATGGCTACTGAATCAATGAGTGAGCGAATGCATGCATGTATGCAAACATGAGTAACGGCAAGACCCTGAATTCCTACACACCATCAACAGTTCCCAAAGTCTCTAGAATACGACAATATACTTACTTGTCCAACCTTTGAAAGTTTAAGTTCTCTTAGCGTATAGTCATGAGCGGCGCTTTCTTTGACGTTCCTAACACGCATGACGCCATATTCTTTTAGAGCATACTCATCAGGCCAGTATTTGACACATTTACTCTGGAAGAGATCAGAAAAAAAGAAAGTTAATTCTGTGAACTCTGAAATAAAAGCCTAAACAAGCAACAAACAAATGTTCAAGTCTTGCTTAATAACCACCAACATGGAAAATGGCCTGTTTCGCATCTGTTAGGTTTTCAGAAAAGGACAGAAGAGTTCAAATAAGAAAAGCAGGCATTCGGAGGACCAGGCAGAAGTGGGAGGAGAAAGGCAGCTGGTGCAGTTACCTGATCCAAGCACATGTCAAAGCAGAGTCAATGTTTGTTTATCTGTAAAGAATCAGCTGGGGCGCAGTGGCTCATGCCTGTAATCCCAGCAGTTCGGGTGGCCGAGGCGGGCAGATCACTTGAGACCAGAGGTTTGAGACCAACCTGGCCAAATGGTGAAACCGTGTCTCTACTAAAAATACAAAAATTAGCCAGGCGTGATAGCAGGCACCTGTAATCCCAGCTACTTGGGAGGCTGAGGCAGGAGAATTATTTGAACCTGGGAGGCAGAGGTTGCAGTGAGCTGAGATCATGCCACTGCACTCCAGCCTGGGTGACAGAGAGAGGTTCTGTCTCAAAAAAAAAGGAAGAGTTCAAACAAGAAAAGCAGGTGTTTGGAAGACCAGGCAGAAGTGGGAGGAGAAAGGCAGCTCGTGCAGGTGTCTGTTCCAAGCACATGTCAAAGGAGAGTCGGTGCTTGGTTTATCTATCTCTAAAGAATCAAAGATGCAGAGAGAAGGACCAACCAATGTGAGAGTGCTGGCTAGCAACCACTGAGGTCTGAATTCTAAGATCTACCAGTCACTCCATAGGGAAGGCAAGCACAGATTCTGGAGGAGGCTAGGCTGCCCAACGAGCCAGACTGTCTGTTTCATTTCCGCACCAGTGTAGGAGGACTCTGTGCCTTATCTAACCCAAGTGTGAATAACTCTATCACAGAAAGGCAGCCCATGGGGTTTTGAACCAGCTGCTTTTTCTATATCCAGACCCATCTGATACCTCCTCTACACGTCACTTTCCCTTAACTGGGTGCCTGGGAATGCCAAGTCTGCAATAGCTGCTGGCTTCAAGAGCAGGCGGATTGAAAAATATGGCACCAAGAAAATCATTCTTGCTGCCAAAAAGGAAGCTATTTCACTCAGTAAGAGATGAGTTTGTATCTATTTGGTGATGTGTTCTGGGCAGAGAATGCTTTTGTGTTCTGTTGTTTTCTGGGCAGTCATCCACACCACTCACTTTCCAAAACCACCAATATCAGCAAGAGAAATTTACCTTGTATCTTAGGAAGACAGAGAAATTTACAGCTATAAAACTGGAAATAAGAGAGCAGCTACAGACATCAACAGTGAGAGTCAATGAGTCAATGATTAATTGAAAGAAAAAAGAAAACATGGTAGGAGGAACGTTCAATAAAAGGATGTGGTCTTGGTTGGGCGCAGTGGCTCACGCCTGTAATCCCAGCACTTTGGGAAGCCGGGTGGATCACTTGAGGCCAGGAGTTTGAGACCAGCCTGGCCAACATGGTGAAACCTGTCTCTACTAAAATTACAAAAATTAGCCAGGTGTAGTGGCACACGCCTGTAATCCCAGCTACTCAGGCACTGAGGCAGGAAAATCGCTTGAATCCGGGAGGCGGAGCCTGCAGTGATCCAAGATAGTGCCACTGCACTGCAGCCTGAGTGACAGAGCAAGATACAGTCCCAAAAAAAAAAAAAAAAAAGAACGATGTGGTCTTTTATTTATTATGATTCTCAATTCAGCTTTCCCTCCGGTATTTTGTAGATCCAAACACCTCTGACAGATTTGATGCAAATTTTAGTTTCCCCAAATGAGCACTCCTAATATTAATTGTACTCTATGCTGTCACTGGCCAATCAAGACTGAGGACTGCTCCCAGTCACTATAGGGAACTCACCAGAGAATATAAAATTAAATCATGACCCTGAAAAGAACATTTTAGCTAACTTTAAACATCAGCCCTCCCCCTAGTTTCTAAACTCCCGTGGAAACCTTGGCAAACAAATTCTAAAATGTGAGAACTAATACACTGTCTTTTAAAATAGAGCCCAGGAATCAAACACAGTCCACAGTCTGGCTTGTCTTCTGTGCACTGGGGGGATACTGAAAGTAGGATGTCAGAAAGGTCTGTGGAGAGAATCAATACCCATCATGTCATCCTCTCGGCACCACCAAAGTAAAGAGGAAGAATGAGACAGGGAGCAGAGAGTAGGACATGGTGGTGAGGGGTGGGGCAGAGTGATTTGGCCCTAATGCCTGTCTATCCAGGAGAGCTTCTGAAAGGGACTGATACTGATTCCTCTGAAGCAACACAAGACCCCTCTCTTCACAATCCTCATGTCTTCTGAGAACAGGTGAACCTCCTATAGCTATAATCAGGCAAAAAGGAGGATGAAGGGCTTCATTCTTCCTATCCACATTTAGGGCAAAAAACCCTTGCCTGAAGCAGAAACTACAAAGATGTTTTCATTGGTCCATTAATTCAAGAACACCTAATGTTACCACAGGCATTTGCTGAAGGAAACCTTTGTTTCACGATGACCAGAACTGGCCTCAAAGGTATTCAGAAGTATACCAACTAGGAGTACAACAATGAAAGTCTTATGAAAATCACACTGCCCTTCACATCCAATATGAAAATTACAGTAGGAAGGCTCAACTCCAAAGTTCTCCATCTGCCTTAGGTTTAATTTATAGGTATGACTGCTACATTCCACATAAAATCTTATATAAACCAATTAAAGGATATCTAAAAAAGAACTTTCACTAGAACACAAACAAAAACACAGAACTTTTCCATATTTAAAAAAAAAACCACCATGGTGGGCTCACTTTGAGATAACACAGAGGGCTGTCACTCAATAAGATCTGTCCGCTCTTCTGTAGGTGTGGGGTGTTACAATTTATTTTTTTAATCTGAAGTGTCTTGAAGAGTATGGAGTAATGAGTCCTAGGCAGGTGCTGCTGGTGGGAGTGAGCACTGCAGCAACCATTTGGGAGGACAGTTAGGCAGAGTTAATTAAAACAGACAACATGGCCAGGCATGGTGGCTCACACCTATAATCCCAACACTTTGGGAGGTCAAGGAAGGTGGATCACCTAAGCTCAGGGGTTCCAAAACCAGCCTGGCCAACATGGCAAAACCCCATCTCTACTAAAAATACAAAAATTAGCCAGGCGTGGTGGCACGCACCTGTAGTCCCAGCTACTTGGGAGGCTGAGGCATGAGAATCATTTGAACCGGGAGGCAGAGGCTGCAGTGAGCTGAGATCATGCCACTGCACTCCGGCCTGGGCAACAGACCGAGACCCTGTCTCTACAAAACAAAAAACAACAACAGAAATACTCCATACATTCAAAAGGTAAGGAAAATGCTACACATGTTAAAAGGAAAGCTATAGATGACATTAACACTTCTAGAGATGAAAAATACAATGTCTGTGATGAAAAATACTCTGGATAGGATTAAGAGCGGATGACATATTGCAGAAGATTAACTTGGAGACATAGCAAAAGAAGCTATTCGAAATGAAACACGGGGAGAAAAAACTGAATAAAATAAACCAAGTATCAGTGGGCTATGAGACAACTTCAAGTAGTCTAATACACGTATGACTGCTGTCCTAGGACAAGGTTGTGCAGGGTACATTTTTTTTTTTTAAGAGATGGGGTCTTACTACATTGCCCAGGCTGGTCTCAAACTCCTGACCTCAAGTGATCCGCCCACCTCAACACCCCACAGTGCTGGGACTACAGGCATGAGCCACCATGCCCAGCCCAGGATATGTATCTGAAGAAACTAAGACTGAACATTATCCAAATTTAAGGAAAACTACAAATCCATGGAGCCAAGAAGCTCAACAAATCCCAAGCAGAAGAAACATAAAGAAAACTACACCAAGGAATAACATAATCAAATTTCTCCTAGTCCCTTTTTTCCAGAGAATCAGTTACAGTAAGCTTAATTCATTTATTCAATTCCTAAACATGGCCAATCTGACATGTCTGATACTTTAAAAACAGTTTAGCAGAAAAGAAGTTTCTGTGATTTACCTTTCCTCTCTCCACTTCTTTCGTTGTCATGACAATCACTCGGGAGTTTTCTTGGAACACCATCCGCCAAAAGTCATTCACCGTGTTTTGCAGGCAGCCTTGTGTGGCAATGTAACTCTTTTTGGGCTTTGAATTGTTGCACTTGGTTTCAAATTCAGGCTAGAAATTTAGGAAGAAAATCCTTCAAACACCTTAAAGTTACTTTCAGGACATGAGGAAGGATTTAAAATACAAAAATAGGCTAGAAATGTATGGTCAGAAAACACTGTGAAAAGCAAAGCTTACCATGATGATATTTGCATTGATGTAATCTGAAACAGGCTCATTGGGATCACCATCGTGTAGGACAACCCTGGTATGATCAACTAGAAGAAAAAGAGACCACGGTCACATAAGTCCTGGACTGCTTCAGGAAAAAACAGTTCAAATCAGTTACTCCCCAGCCTAGTCCAAGTTTTGTTCATTCAATGATTGAAAAAAAAACACATAAAAATTAAAGCCCAGGTAAGCAAAACAGTAACGTGAACACTGCCTGATGTCTCAAAATGCCATCTTCACAATTTCCTAGTTTTGATCATATACTATGGGTATATAGGATGTTATCATTGGGTATATAGGAAGCTCAGAGAAGGTACAAGAAAATTCTCTCTACTATATGTGTAACTTCTTATGAGTTCCAAAATTATTTCAAACCAAGAAATTTTGGGCTGGGCGCAGTGGCCTATAATTTCAGCACTTTGGGAGGCCAAGGCAGGTGGATCATATGAGGTCAGGAGGTCAAGACCAGCCTGGCCAACATGACAAAACCCTGTCTCTATTAAAAATACAAAAATTAGCCAGGCATGTTGGTCCACATCTGTAATCCTAGCTACTAGGGAGGCTGAGGTACAAAAATCGCTTGAACCCGAGAGGCGGACATTGCAGTGAGCCAAGATCACTCCAGCCTGGATGACAGAGTGAGACACAGTCTCAAGAAAAAAGAAAAGGGGAGGGGGAGTTTTAAAAAAAAAGAAGATTGAAGTATACATATATGACATGATGTCTGAGATGGGCTTCAAAATAATTCAAGGAGAGAGGAGATGTGGATCAGAGTATAGATGAAACCAAGACTGGGCATGAGTTGATAATTGTTGAAGCTGGGTGATGGGTACATGTGGGTTCTTTATGCTCTTGAATATATTTGAAAATTTCCATAATAAAGAGGGGTTTTTGTTGTTGTTGTTGTTGTTGTTTTAAATTTATTTTTTGAGACAGGGTTTTCCTCTGTCACCCAGGTTGGAGTGCAATAGCACTATCTCGGCTCTCTGCAACCTCTGCCTCCTGGGCTCAAGCAATTCTCATACCTCAGCCTCCTGAGTAACTGGGATTACAGGAGCGTGCCACCACATCTGGCTAATTTTTGTATTTTTAGTAGAGATGGGGTTTTGCCATGTTAGCCAGGCTGATCTTGAACTCCTGACCTCAGGTGATCTGCCCACCTCAGCCTCCCAAAGTGCTGGGATTACAGTTGTGAGCCACCGCACCCAGCCAGGTATTTTTTAGTGAAGCATAATGCAGTGGAATATCACAAGGCTCTGATAGTATCAACTGTCCAAATTCTGTACAAAAGTCTATTATTCGTATAAAAATCTGAGTGCTCTACCTAAACAACATATTTTGCAATGGGAATTAGTAAGACAGCCATGTGTCTTAAAAGAATAATGTCTTTTTTGCTTCAGACTCCTCATCTTTAAGGAAATGAGATGTTCATCAGAGGAAACATCTGAATGAGACCTTTAAGGGAGGAAAAAGCGATATTCTATTTAGATACTGCATACCATTGATCCCTTCACTTTCCCATACATTTTATACCATTTAATACCACCTGACCCCTGAGCAGATGTCACAACTTAGACATAGAAAGGACAAGGTGGCCAGGCATGGTGGTCCACACCTGTAATCCTGGCACTTTGGGAAGCCAAGGCAGGAGGATAGTTTGGGCCCAGGAGGTCAAGACCAGCCTGGGCAACATAGAGAAACTCTTGTCTATTTCTAAAAATTGAAAAAATAAATTCCAAAAAAAAAGGATAAGGCTTCCTCAAGGTCACTAGTACCATGCTACAGCTCAAACTGCTTCTCTGCAAATTCCTCACTGCCTTTTCTCAGTATTACAAATGTCTCCACTTTCCCCCATCCTCATACATATACATTACAATATCCATGTAGATATGATATACATATATACCATGTATATGTACATATGCATGCAGAAAGAGAAAGACTATGTTTCATGCATAGACACACACAAAGAATGGTTTACAAGATTTGACAAAATGACTCTGACCTGATAAGACATGAGAGCAATGCTCTCCAAATTTGATCACAACCCCCAATCACACAGTTTTTCTATGCTGAAATGTATACACATATGCACTACAGGCAAGCAAGCCTTATTTGTAAGTTGGATAAATATAGTATGCATAGCCAGGTGCAGTCGCTCATGCCTGTAATCCCAGCACTTTGGGAAGCCAAAGCAGGAGGATTGCTTGAGCCTAGGAGTTCGAGATCAGCCTGGGCAATATAGTGAGACCCCCCATCTCTATATACAATCAATCAATCAATCAATAAAACATTATGCACTCCCTGCAATCAATCTAGGCCTCAGACAAATTTTTCTTTTTCTTTTTTTTTTAGGGACAGGATATAAATAAAGAGAAGTTGTAAATGTTCCTTCCTTTCTCCTCAGTGCACTGCCTTGCATAGCACATCAATGGAGAACCCCATGCATTAGAGTGGTGCTAAGAACAGTGACTTTGGGGGCTCTAGTGCCAGTTCTCCCACCCACTCCCCTTCACTTATAACCTTGCTAAAATGGTCTAGGAAACCAGGATACTACGAATGCTTCCTTCCTGTGCATGTGATATGGATTAAGTGAGATAAAAATGCAAAGAGTTCAGCATAGAGTTAGACCTCGGGAGAGAGGAACTGTGACTGGTTTAGTGCAGTTTCTGAGATCCTCATGCAAGGCCTACATCCTGCCAGGCCTTTTTCCCTCCTGGTTCAACTTGGGCTTTGCCTGGTGGCATTTGGGTGTTACAGAAGATATAGCCAGACACAGTGGTTCACACCTGTAATCCCAACACTTTGGGAGGCCGATGCAGGCAGATCGTTTGAGCCCAGGAATTCGAGACCAGCCTAGGCAACATGACGAAACCCTGTCTCTACAAAAAAAATAATTACAAAAAATACAAAAATTAGCTGGGCATGGTAGCACATGCCTGTAGTCCCAGCTACATTGCAGGCTGGGGTGGGAAGGACCACTTGAGCCCGGGAGGTTGAGGCTGCAGTGACCCATGATCATGCCACTGCACTCCAGCCTGGGCAACAGAGTAAGACCCTATCTCAAAAATAAATAAATAAATAAGTAGAAAAAAGGAAGGTCTACATCCTTCCAGGCCTTTTTTCCTCATGATTCAACTTGGGCTTTGCCAGGTGGCATTTGGGTGTTACAGAAGGTACAGCCAGGCACAATGGCTTGCACTGGTAATCCCAACAGTTTGGGAGGCTGAGGCAGGAGGACTACTTGAGCCCAGGAGTTCAAGACCAGCCTGGGCAACATAGGGAGACCCCGCCCTAGAAAAAATTTTATTATTTTTTAAATCGTTTTTTGTTTTGAGACAGAGTCTCACTCTGTCGCCCAGCCTGGAGTGCAGTGGTGCACATAGCACCTCCGGCTCATTGCAACCTCCGCCTCCCAGGTTCAAGCGATTCTCCTGCCTCAGCCTCAGCCTCCCAAGTAGCTGGGATTACAGGCATCCACCACCACGCCCAGCTAATTTTTGTAATTTTTAATAGAGATGGGGTTTCACCATGTTGGCCAGGCTACTCTCGAACTCCTAACCTCAGGTGATCCGCCCACCTCGGCCTCCCAGGGTGCTGGGATTACAGGCGTAAGCCACTGCGCCGGCCTACAGAAAAACTGTAAAATCAACCAGGTGTACTGGTGCCTGCCTATTGTCCCAGCTAATCAGGAGGCTGAGGTGGGAGAATCGCTTGAGCCCAGGAGGTTGAGGCTACAGTGAGCTGTGACTGCACCCTGAGCAACAGAGTGAGACTATGTCTCAAAAAAAAATTGAAAGGTACAGCTTTACAGCTTTGCGAATATTCACAAAGTCTTCCTTTTTTTTTTTTGAGACGGAGTTTTGCTCTTGTCACCCAGGCTGGAGTGCAATGGCACATCTCGGCTCACTGCAACCTCCATCTCCTGGGTTCAACCAATTTCCCGCCTCAGCCTCCCGAGTAGCTGGGATTACAGGCGCACACCACCACATATGGCTAATTTTTGTATTTTTAGTAGAGATGGGGTTTCACCATGTTGGCCAGGCTGGTCTTGAACTCCTGATCAGAGGTGATCCGCTTGCCTCGGCCTCCGAAAGTGCTGGGATTACAGGTGTGAGCCACTGCGCCCGGCCCACAAAGTCTTCTTCTGAGCAGTTTAGGTATATACCCTTTCTCCAGTAACTTGAGCTCAGGGGATCAGCAAGCAGAACAGTTCTAGGAGCCCTCAGGAGGTGTTTGTCTGTTTCCCACTTAAGGGAACTGAGTCCCAGAAAGGAGGCAGGCCTTACCCAGGACTCACAGGCCCAGTGAGGAGGAGTCAAGACACAAATCTGGCACCCTAAGGTCCCTGACACTGAGAGATCCCAAGCCTTGAGATGATCTATCTTGGGCAGACAGAAAATTAATTAACAGAAGGAACCAACCACAGACAAAGCCACCTAGTGGCAACTTTACTCAGTAATCAGCATCACGGGAGCTCAGTGAATGAAGTCATCAACACCCACCATGGTTGATTATTTTGGAAACTGCTTGCAATTAAAGAAGCTAAGGCCTCCGATGTGCTAACAAGAGCACACGACCCTGAGGAAAGGTACAGAGGTGCTAGGAATCAAAATCTCCAAGAGTGACTATTACTGAGCGGAATATTGATACTTACAGGGCAGGATGTTTTTATATCTATTTTTGTTTTTGTTTTCTTGCCTTTGACCCTCTTTTCGGCTGTAGAGAAGTTTGCACTCCTGTTGTTGTAGTGTCTGGAAAGAAAGAAAAGTCAATATTATTACGTGTCAAAGAGTCACAGAAAAAGAAAAAAGCCTGGATCAGCATTACTTCTTTAAGGAATTCATCCTAGGAAATGTTCAGAATTGTGTGCGATAGCTACAAGAATGTTCATCTGGGTCAGGCGTGATGGCTTACACCTGTAATCCCCACACTTTGGGAGGCTGAGGTGGGCAGATCACTTCAGGGCAGGAGTTCGAAACCAGCCTGGCCAACATGGTAAAACCACAGCTCTACCAAAAACACAAAAATTAGCCAGACATGGGCACCTGTAATCCCAGCTACGTGGGAGGGTGACACAGGAATCACTTGAGGAGAGATTGTGCCACTGCACTCCAGCCTGGGCGAAAGAGCGAGACTCCGTCTCAAAAAAAAAAAAAAAGAAGGTTCATCTGAATGCTGCAACAACTGTGGAGAAATGCTGAAAATAATATAAATGTCCAACAGGAAAGGACCGCCTAAATAAAACTATTGTTTGTTCATACAAAAGAATGTTCTATGTCCATTTAAAAAGATGTACTAGGAAAATAACACCTTGGAAAGATGATGAAAGTGAAAAGAAAGTCAAACCTCCAAAATAGCATATGATGTAATCATACACTTGCATTCACCTACGTACAAAAGAAATGGCATAAGGACACCATGATGTGCATCTGTAGTCCCAGCTACTCCAGAGGCTGAGGCTGGAGGATCACTTGAGCCCAGGAGTTCAAGACCAGCCTGGGCAACAAAATGAGACGCTATCTTAAAAAGAAAAAAATGTTTTAATTTTTTTTCTTTAAAAAAAAGGCAGAAGGCCAGGTGCAATGGCTCACGCCTATAATCCTAGCACTTCAGGATTACCTGAAGTCAGGAGTTAAAGACCAGCCTGGCCAACATGACAAAACATGTCAGCCTGACATGACAAACAGACTGGCCAATATGACAAAAAACCAGACATGGCCAACAAACCAGCCTGGCCAACATGACAAAACCCCGTCTCTACTAAAAATACAAAAATTAGCCAGGTGTGATGGCACACCCCTGTAATCCCAGATACTCGGGAGGCTGAGGCACGAGAATCGCTTGAACCCAGGAGGCAGAGGTTGCAGAGAGCCAAGATCACGTCCCTGCCCTCCAGCCTGGGTAACAAAGGGAGACTCCATCTCGAAAAAAAAAAAAGTGGGAGAAGAACCAAATAGGTAATGGTGATTTTTTTTTTCTCCCAGGGTAGCAGGATTATGAAGTCCTTTTCTTGTTTTTTTTTTCCCACTGTGTTCTCCCTTAAATTTTCTACAATGAAACAATAGAATATTCATAAGAAAAATCTTTAAAAATAACAATTATAAAGAATGAAACCCAACAAGGATTGGCGTAGCATATACAAATAACAGCTGTGATCTATATTCTTTTTTTCTTCTTCTTTTTTTGTTTTAAATAAGACAGGGTCTCTCTCTCTCTCTCTCTCTCTCTCTCTCTCTCTCTTTCTGTTTATCATATGATGGAGCCACGGCACTCCAGCCTGTGTGGCAAAACAAGATCCTGTCTCAAAAAAAAAAAAAGTCAATTTCAAGGGATAATTGGTTTACAAAAAGCCTAGTGTTTAATGGGAAATCACAAATAGGCAAATCAAGAAAGTAAAAGGTAGGCTAAGAAAAGAAAATTTATATATAAAATGCCAAAATGGCTACCCTCAAAGAGTCCTACAAGGAAAAACACAGTCATATTTCACAACACAGCAGCCCTGTTTTATTTCCATTTCATTTATCTGAATTTCACAAGTGTAAAGGTCTGGACTTTAAATTGGTATTTGACGCTCAGTTTCAAAATGCAACCTTCAGCCTGGACATAAGCTCATCACAAAAGCATTTAACTAGCTGAAACCTGGACAAAAATAAAAACAATGTAGGTAGAACTGTGACAAGGAATCAGTCATTTGAATTTTTTTTAATGAGCTCAGGTTAAGGAGTTAAGGCAGTTTGCCCTCTCTGGGCAAGCATTTCCTTGGACTGTGAGCCAGTCTTACCAAGCAATACTGCTGTGTTAGCAAGAAGGTTTAACCTTGATGTTTAGACAGGTTATTAAGGTGAGGTTCAAAAAGAAGTTCAAACACTGAACTGAATCAATCACTTCAACTAAATGAAGTGAAACGACATCAACAAAAAAATACATACCGGGGGAGGGGGACTGGGACTAATTAGCAGCTTGATTTAAAACAAACTTGTCAGGAAAGCATTCGGGCCTTCATTTACGAACCCAACTTCGCATGACACTTCACTGAGGTGGGGGGGCGGTGGCAGGGCACACGTGGCCAAAGCAATCACTATGCAAGGTGAATTTCCTACAGTTCCTGTTTAATTACCCTTCAATTTCTCCCTCCACCTTCAAGATCAAGTCCAAGCTGTTCAGGATGACGCACAAGGCCTTCTAGTCTCTGAGCTAATCAGGGCCTGCCTCTAAGTTCCTTTCTGTTTCGCCAAGCTACTTTGCCTGTCTGTGCCTCAGTTTCCTTGAGTGTGAAATGAGCACAATCCTTTCTACCCCCAAAGGGGCGGGGTGAGGGTCAAATGAGATGCATGTACATCACTATACAGTGCGTGACATACAACAAAGCAAGTATACAGATACTGGCTATTTCTATGACATCACTATTGCTACATGAACTCTACACTGGCTACTCCACGTGTGGTCTGTAGACCAGCAGCATTAGCACCACCTGGGAGCTGGTTAGAATCCCAGCCCCAGGTCCTACCCCAGACTTAATCAAAATCGGTATTTTTGCTCGAGGACAGGAGGTCAAGACCAGCCTGGGCAATATGGTGAGAGCTGGCTTCTACAAAAAATTTAAAGATTAGCCAGACATAGTGGCATGCATCTGTAGTCCCAGCTACTTGAGAGGCTGAGGTGGGAGGATTACTTGAGCCCAGAAGGTCAAGGCTGCAGGGAACCATGATTGCACCACTGCAGACCAGACTGGGCAATGAAGCAAGACTCTGTTTCCAAAAAAAAAAGCACCTTCAAGATGCTTTGGCATCTCTGCATACCACCTCTTATGTCATTTGTTTCTTTAAACTGAACTCCTCTTTTTCTCCTTCACAAAATATATTTCAAAAAGAAACTGCCTCAGCCAGGCCCAGTGGCTCAAGCCTATAATCCCAGCACTTTGGGAGGCCAAGGTGGATGGATCACCTGAGGTCAGGAGTTCAAGACCAGCCCAGTCAACATGGCAAAACCTGGTCTCTACTAAAAATATGAAAATTAGCTGGGAGTGGTGGCAGGCACCTGTAATCCCAGCTACTTGGAAGCCTGAGGCAGGAGAATCGCTTAAACCCAGGAAGCAGAGGTTGCAGTGAGCCGAGATTGTGTCACTGCACTCCAGCCTGGGTGCCAGAGCAAGACCCTGTCTCAAAAAAAAAGAAAAAGAAAAAAGAAATTGCCCTTACTTGCACAAATTTTAAAAATTTTTTCATTTTGCTGTATATAGAAGGTAAACAGAAAAGGGAATATAACAAAAATGAAATATTATCAAATTCTACCTAGATACTGGGGCATTCCTGAGGCTTTGCAAAAAAAAAAAGACACAGGCAAGTGTTAGAGGTAGATGTTAAACACTTACTACTACCATATGGAGACCTTCTTCAGGCTTCATCTACGGACTAGATAAGGATGAAAAAGAGAAAGCCTTTCTCATTTGCTAATTCATCTTACCTACCGTGATGGGGTAACACCAAGAATCATCTCACAACACAAAGGGAATACTTTGCCAGACTAAATTCAGAGTTCCAGACCAGGGAAATCCTCATCAATACTCATTTTGGCTGGGCCACCCATCATCAGGTCTGCCAGAGGCTTCCCTTAATCTTTTTTTTTGTTGTTGGGACAGAGTCATGCTCTCTCACCCAGGCTGGAATGCAGTGGTATGATCATAGCTCACTGTAACCTCAAACTCCTGGGCTCAAGTGATCCTCGCACCTCAGCCTCTTGAGTGGCTGGGACTACAGGCACGCACCACCACATCTGGCTAATTCTTTTCCTTTTTGTAAAGACAGGGTCTCACTATGTTGCCCAGGCTGGTCTCGCACTCAAGGACTCCAGCCCTCCTCCGGCCTCAGCCTCCCAAAGCACTGAGATTACAGGCGTGAGCCACTGCACCTGTCCTGCGCTTTCCTTATCCTGCAGTAAGTTCTCAATCACCTCTTCCAGGCGGACTTGGGGCTTGAACAGTGCACAGTCAAGATGGCTGCTGGGTCCAGAGGCTTCCACAGAGGACAGGAGAGGCACCCCTGCATCCCAGGCTCAGGTGGGTGCTAACTGCCAGCAGCTGACAGTTGTCACAGATTGATAATAGCTAACAGCACATCTCTCCCCCGGCTCCTTCCCTAGTGCACCAATTAGCCCAGCCTCATCTGCACCTGGGACTCAAGTTGCCTAAACATATTTCATTTCCCATAGCAGAAGATGCCATCCATCTAGAGTGAGACTGAAAATACAAACAATTCAGAAGTTGTGACTTTCCATGCTCTGCCCACAGAGGCTACCAAATGCTAAGGGCGCTTCCTCCCCAGCACCAGGCTTATGGTTCTAAGCTCCAGAAAAATATCAAATAAACCCTGCCCTCGAGGAGAATACATTCCTGTCAGGGTTTATCTTCCACAACCTCCCTCCCACCAGCAGTCCCTAGGGCACAAAAGCTGCTAATGACCTGTCAAGCTGAATGTCACCGCATCTCCATCCTTCTCCACTGGCCTTGGCAGGGATGCTAATGAGGAGGCTTGGGGCAGGCAGCAAAAAGGATAATGTAAAGCAGGGACACAGGCTGCCAGATATCCCATTTTCCCAAATAATACATCCAAAGGGTTTGCACCAAACTGTGAACTCTCAAAAAGGACCAGAGGCTAGTTACAGACACCTGACTGCAGGAGTCTAAACAGATCTAGAGCCAAAAAAACTGCATAAAACTATTAAATTTAATGATACGGTTTGGATGTCTGTCCCCTCCAAATCTCAAGTTGAAATATGACCTCCAGTGTTGGAGGTGGGGCCTAAAGGAAGGTGGTGGATCCTTCATGAATGTTTTGGTGCCATCCTCACAGTGAGTTCTCACTCTAAGTTCACGTGCAATCTGGTTGTTTAAAACAGTGTGGTGGCCGTGCGCAGTGGCTCATGCCTGTAATCCCAGCACTTTGGGAGGCCGAGGCAGGCGGATTACTTGAGATCAGGAGTCCGAGACCAGCCTGGCCAACATGGTGAAACCCTGTCTCTGCTAAAAATACAAAAATCAGCTGGGCATTGTGATGCGCGCCTGTAGTCCCAACTACTCAGGAGGCTGAGGCAGGAGAATTGCTTGAACCTGGGAGGCAGAGGCTGCAGTGAGCTGAGATCACGCCACTGCACTCCAGGCTGGGCAAAAGAGTGAGACACTGTCTCAAATTAAAATAAAATTAAAAAAAGAGCGTGGCTCCCACCCCACCCTTGCCACCACTCCGGCCATGTGATCGTCTGCCCTCCTTTTGCCTTCCACTATGACCGGAAGCTTCCTGAGGCCCTCACCAGAAGCAGATGCTGGAGCCATGCTTGTACAGCCTTCAGAACCATGAGCCAATTAAACCTCTTGTCTTTATAAATTACCTAGACTCAGATATTCCTTTAGAGCAGTGCAAAACAGCCTAACACATCTAATAAACTATTAAAAGGTATCCACAGAAAGTCAATGTCCTGATCCATGTTGTACATGTGAGTACCCAACGGCACTACTGACTGTGAGTACCCAACGGCACTACTCCACTACTGTGGAGGAGTTAAGTTTTCATTGTCTCCCTTATGTAAATGTAAGACCAACCCTTACATTTATGGCCACTGAACATTCCTGCTTCCCAGCCCAGACCCCTGCCAACCTAAATGCCAGGAGCAGCAGCCCAGTGACTGCAATGACCAAAATAGACCCCAGAGGCTTCCAAAGCCCTTGGATTGAAAACCACTGGACCCAGCTCTTGACTAGAATTTCATGAATGAAAGTGGAGGAAAAGGACCAAGGAGAGAGGCAGACAGAAAATAAACTGGCTGAGCCAGGCATCCCCAGGCACCATGACGATGCCCTAATGACCATTTCGCCTGCACTGCTCTGAGCAACAGAGCCAAAATACCTAGGGAAGAAAAATAATGACACTCACCATTACGGCCAGACCAACCTGTATAGTTACTTTACTTATTTTTTTTCTTTCTTAAATTTTTTATATTTTAAATTCTTGGCCTACCAAGCACAGAGATTACTTTTTAAGACAAAGATACGGCTGGGGGCCATGGCTCACACCTGTAATCCTAGCACTTTGGGAGGCTGAGGCAGGAGGATCACCTGAGGTCAGGAGTTTGAGATCAGCCTGGCCAATATGGTGAAACCCTGTCTCTACTAAAAATACAAAAATTAGCCCGAGGTCTGGTTCTGTTGCCCAGGCTGATCTCAAATTCCTCCCACTTCAGCCTCCCAAAATGCTGGGATTGTAGGCATGAGCCACTGCACCTGGCCTTTTCAACTTCTCTCTTTTACATTTCCCATCCATTCCAATTGTACTGGCCTGTGTGCAGATTGTGCAACAAGGTAAACAAACCCCCACTTCAGGGCCTTTGCACTTGCTGTTCCCTCTACCTAGAATGTTCTCCCTGAGGTTATATGCATGGTTGGCTCCATTATTTCCTTCAGAGCTTTGTTCAAATGCCACCTTATCAAAGAGACCTAAATAGTAAAGGCCTATCAAAACACCCTTTTTATCTTACACTAGTTTGTTTTCTCTGTAGCACTTATCACCATCTCACAGATTGAATATTGAACTGTTTCTTTGTTTACTGCCTGTCTCTCCCACTTGACTGTACACTCTATAAAGATAAAGACTGATTTGTTCACTGCTCCACCCCCAAAACCTAGAATAGATCCAGACATACAGTCGGTGTTCAATCAGTATTTGCTGAATGAAGGAAGGAATAAGTCACTGCAACCAGAAGTGTCTATAGTTTTTGGCAGATATTTTTGGGATATCTGCCCAACTCACTACAACCCTCATCACTGAAAACTATTTCTCCCCAAAGGTGTCCACAGCAGACACTTTTGTTCCACATGTTCATGTCCTTGACATTGTTCTTTGGACTAGAGATGGATGGCATCCGAGTCAATGAGAATCTCTGAGACTTTGGTACAAAGCCTGAAAGTTGCTAGTTTCAATATCTGAAAGGGGCTAGAAGTAGGGTTTGTAAGTCAAGAAGCAGAAAAATCTACTGAAGGAAAAAGAATGAAGCAGGTGTATGGAGAGCAAGGATACTGGATACAGAGGGGAGTTAGAGGAGGAAGATGAATGGAAAGAAGAAAGCCCGAGAGACAGTCCATCCACAACCTGGGTCCCACGGTGCCTTGCAGTCGGTTGCAATGTCCAGTCTCAGCCCACAGTACCCCCTGGCAGCTCAGGCCTATAGGACTCAACAGGGAGCAGCAGGCACAGAGAGAGGGCAAAAACCTTTTTTTTTTTTTTTTGTGATACACTCAGGCTGGAGTGCAGTGGCACAATCTCAGCTCACTGCAACCTCTGCCTCCCAGGTTTAAGCAATTCTCCCTGCCTTAGCCTCCCTAGTAGCTGGTATTACAGGCACCCACCACCACACCCAGCTAATTTTTTGTATTTTTTACTAGAAACAGGGTTTCACCATGTTGGCCAGGCTGGTCTTGAACTCCTAACCTCAGGTAATCCAGCTGCCTCAGCCTCCCAAATTGCTGGGATTACAGGTGTGAGCCACCACGCCCGGCCCAAGCACCTTTTCAATACAACCATGCAATATGCACCTCGCCACAATGCACAGGGCCGATTCAAGTGTACAATAACACACACATTGCAGGCACAAAATTACAGAATTATAACCGGCCTTTTCATTTAGTTAGTGTCATTCTCATTTGAGCAGAACTTTACTTTGTTTCAACAAATCTAAAAATATTATCCATCTCTTTACATTCTTGAGCAGAGATACTGCAGGAAGTGAGAGATATTTACACAGATCACAAATGGGCAATCTGTTGGACACAGTGGTGTGTGCCTGTAATTCCAGCCTCTCAGGAGGATCACTTGAGCCCAGGAGTTCAAGGCTGCAGTGCACTACAACAGTGCCTGTAAAGAGCCACTGCACTCCAGCCTGGGCAAGATAGTGAGACCCCATCTCTTTAAAAAAATTAATAACTGGCCAGGCACAGTGGCTCACACCTGTAATCCCAACACTTTCAGAGACCAAGGCAGGAAGATCACTTAAGGTCAGGAGTTTGAGATCAGCCTGGCCAACATGGAGAAATCCCATCCCTACTAAAAATACAAAAAAATTAGCTGAGAGTGGTGGTACGTGCCTGTAATCCCAGCTACCTGGGTGGCTGAGGCACAAGAACCCGGGAGGTGGAGGTTGCAGTGAGCTATCACACCTCTGCACTCCAGCCTGGGTGACAGAGTGAGACTCCATCTCAAAAATAATAATAACTAATAAAAATTAAAATAAAAAAGAAACAGGCAATCTGTAGGGAAAAAAAAATCAAAGACTTGGGTTTGCAATGTCTAGATCACACAACATATCCTACAAGAAAATCATCAACCTGAATTTATTTCAGCAGCAAAGGAGAAAATAACCAAAGAGCTTCACAAGAGACTTCACATTTTAAAGTGCATCAAAGGCAAAAGTAACGTCTTCTGGATAGTGATACCTGAAATGACGTGTAGAATTTTACAGAACACCAGGAGACAGGCATAGAGACAAATCAGAGTTAAATTACCAATGGCATTACAATTTAGAGCTCTGGTTTGTTTTAAAGACTATCAGAGCACACTGTAAGAAGAAAGTGATCCCAAATTTATCACCTGCCAGGAAACAACTAAGGTACAATCACTAAAATGATAATGCTTTGCTATTGTGGATCAAACTTTAGCTTCAGAGGATTTAGATTATGAGTATCTGCTTCCAAGTTCCTAATTTTTTCAATAATGGCTTATTCTGTTTTCAGCCTTATTTCGCTGGTTCCAACCTCAAAGGGCAATTTTTTAAAACAGACTGAATTTGAGAAGCAGGTATATAGGAGATCTAGAAAGCAGGCCATCAGCTATTTAGATATAGCTTCAGTTTCCATGAAACGTTAATGCCCTAATTTAGTGCACAACAATTTTACCACCTCAGTCTGACCTCTGTGGAGAGCCTGTAGAGTACAGATGTGATCTCGTTATTTTCCACTTCCTCTTAAAGTCAACTCAATTTTTCCCTTTTGTTGTTAATAATGTATAAAAGATGACCACAATTTGAGATGTGACAGTGTAAAATCACCAGGTCAGCATTTAGAAGCAACCATCTTTTTCCATGGCCAGAAGAGTCAGGCTAAGAGTTCCTTCTAAACTCACATCTTGACCCCACCAATGGAATTTGCAAAAAATACCCCATTGCCACACAAGCTCTTTGTGAAAGTCTGACTTTGTTCCTAAGCTTTGTTCTAAGTGAACCTAGTGTTAAAGAAGCTACCATGGTACCAGATAACCTGTAATGTTTTTGTTTTAAAGAAACTAATTTTTGCCAAGTGTGGTGGCTTACACTTTAGGAGGCCAAGGCAGGAGGATCATTTGAGCCTGGGAGTTTGAGACCAGCCTGGGCAACATAGCAAGACCCTGTCTCTTTTTTTTTTCTTCTCTTTTTACTTTGTGTGTCTATTATTTTAAATAATTTTAAAATGTTAAAAAAATTTATTTTAAAAAATGCTGTAATTTTTAAGTTCACAGTCATTTACACAAATGATCAACTCAGCTATCATTTGTAAAGGAAGTATAAGATTCTATTGAATCTAGATTACAAAATAGCTCACTATTTTTTACATTTAACCAAAATTTTAATTAAAACAAGTAGCTTGCAAATGTTATGCTAAAAGGTTAAAGCATGCTAACCAAAGTCATGTATAATAAAAGTTATAGATGAATAATAACCACCATTTTTTAAATACAGAACATAAAAAATGTTAATATTACCAGTAGTCAGCAAAAGTAAAGCAGGATGCATACACAAGGCTATTCACTGTAATCCTCTCTGTGATACATTTGGAAACTACCCAAATGCCCATCAATAGGTTGAATAAACTATGGTACAAGTACACAGTGGATTACTATACAGTAAAAAAAGAATGAAGACTATCTCTAGACACTATTATGGATATCCAGGATGTCCAGGATATTTAAAAAAGCAAGGTTAGAAAAAAGTATGTAAAGTTATGCTACTGTTTAAGAAAAAGTGGGATATGGGAATATCTTCTTATATTTTTGAAATATAATGATAAACCATAACTTTTTATACTATGGCTAAAACATAGGAAAGGACAAGGATAGAAGGTAGACTTCTTTGAATACACTTTGTTTTTTCAATTTGACTATCAAAGCCAGTATTTGTGTAATTATAAATAAAACTTAACAGAAAGAGATTTTTTAAATGAAACAAATAAACTAACCATATACCCAGTTAGCATATAGCCACACAGAGAGAAGGACGATTACAAATGAGTCTAAGGCACAGGAAGTTTTTTCATTTTTTTTTTTTAAAAACAGGGTCCCTGCTCTGTCACCCTAGAGTACAGTGTCACAATCGTATCTCACTGCAGCTTCAAACTCCTGGGCTTAAGCCTACTCTCGCCACAGCCTCTCAATAGCTGGGACTATAGGGACATGCCACCATGTCTGGTTAATTTTTAATTTTCTTTTGTAGAGACAGGGTCTCACTATATTGCCCCGGCTGGTCTCAAACTCCTGAGGTCCAGCGATCCTCCCTTCTTGTCCTCCCAAAGTACTGGGATTATAGGCGTGAGCCACTGTGCCCAGCAGAATACAGTAACTTGACTACACATCTCTGAAGGATTTTTTTGAAAAGCGCAAAAAAAATTAAACTGTTTTCAGTAATCATATTATTGGGAAGTCATTATTCTAAGATTGTTGTGTGTAATGTGGGATAAAACAAATGAATAATCTTATTATGGCTTCAAGAAGTAGGATTTTTGGCATTAGAGAAAGGAGATACATGGGTAAGATCAATGAGGTTAGTAAAAATCCTGAAACCCTGAGTTTGATTTGGAAGTATCAATTGAACCCATAACAGATTTCAAATCAGGAAAAAAAAATCTGACCAGGCTCATTGGCTCTTGCCTGTAGTACACCTATAATCCCAGCACACTGGGAGGCTGAGGCAGGAGGATCACTTGAGCTCTGCAGTTCGAGACCATCCTGAGCAACATAATACGACCACATCTCTACTAAAAATAAAAATTAAAAAATTAGCTGGGCATGGTGGTATGTGCCTGTAGTCCCAGCTACTCAGGAGGCTGAGGTAGAAAGATTGCTTGAGCCCAGACATTCAAGACCAGCCTGGGAAATAAAGTGAGACCTCATCTCTACAAAAGAATCAAAAAATTAGCCAGGCATGGTGGCATGCACCTGTGGTCCCAACTACACAGGAAACTGAGGCAGGAGGATCACCTCAGCCCAAGAGTTCGCAACTGTGTGTTTGCGCCACTGCACACCAGCCTGAGCAACACAGTGAGACCTACCTCAAAAAAAAAAAAAAGAAAAAGAAAAGAAAACTGCTTAGTAAGAAGGAAAAAATCAACCCTCGGCGATGAAAAGCTTTTTATAGAAATATGCCAACCTAACAAATGAAGAAGAATGATAAAATTACAATATCACTACCATATAGTCCCTTATGAATTAATGGATCTAAGTAATAATGATCAGGAGCTGCTAAGAAAATCAGAGAAGAAACAACAGGACATAAACACCTCCTGATACACCACCATACATGCTATCTTGCCAAAGAAAACTTGTATCCAATGAAGTCTCTAGATATATCAACTTACAAGAAATATAAGGGATGGATACATGCTTAAGTCCACCACAGAGAGGCACTCAGCAAAATTCAGACTATAAGTAACTCTCAGGACAAATGATCTGCTTTCTTCAACAGCAGAAAAGACAGGGAGAGGGGGAAGGAAGACAGAAAAAGAGAGATGGAAGGGGCATCAAAGTATTCTAAGAGACTTAAGATTGTTTTGTTTTGTTTCGTTTTGAGATGAAGCCGCACTCTGTCTCTAGGCTGGAGTGCAGTGGCGCGATCTCGGCTCACTGCAACTGCCACCTTCTGGGTTCAAGCGATTCTCCTGCCTCAGCCTCCCGAGTAGCTGGGACTACAGGCACGCACTACCACGCCCAGCTAATTTTTGTATTTTTAGTAGAGACCGGGTTTCACCATGTTGGCCAGGATGGTCTCGATCTCTTGACCTCGTGATCCGCCCACCTCAGCCTCCCAAAGTGCTGGAATGACAGCCGTGTGCCACCACGCCCAGACTTAAGATTTTTACAACAGAAATATTATGAGACTTAGCCAACCACAGTGTGTGAAGCTTATCTGAAAAATGATTGAACAAAATATTTTTAAATTATAAGACAATTGGTATAATATGAACAATGTTGGGTTATGTGATGCATTTTTAAGGATTCCACAAATATTGAAATATTTATAAATAAAAAATATGATGACAGGGATAATTGATAAAGCTGATAATGGCATATCAGGATCCTTTATATGAATCTGTTTTATACACATTTGAAATTTTTTCATAATCAAGGTGGAAGAAAGCACTCCCAATTCAAACAAATTGCTGCTGGGCACAGTGGCTCATGCCTGTAATCCCAGCACTTTGGGAGGCCAAGGTGGGTGGATCACCTGAGGTCGGAAGTTTGAGACCAACCTGGCCAACATGGTGAAACCCCACCTCTAC